>NC_000006.12:9453939-9605454 GCF_000001405.40 Homo sapiens
TTTTCTGGAAACCTGCATTCTAGAATTTCTCAAATTTCAGGTTATTTTCAAGCTAGAATTGGAAAAAAACAAAAAACAAAACAAAACAAAAAAACATCGAGAAGCCTCATAGGTTTAGAAAATCATCAAGAATCACAAAAACACTAATGTCACAGTTGGGATTAGTTGATTCTATAACTAGCTGAAAAAGAGGTTCAAGGTACCATCCATAAAGCAACAGTTAAAGTGAAAAATGTTTAAAGATGAGAAAAAAGCAACACAAAGTGAAATAGACAGGAAAGAAGAACATGAAAAGAATGATAGCAAAACAGCTCCACAATGTGTATTTTAGAAGGGAGGAGACAATCATTTAGAGTACATGACAATAACCATCACGAGTTCAGACCTCTGCCTCCAAAGAAATCATCACATCATGTTAAAGAGATACTCAGAGTATGATTGGGTAGTCTAAGTGGGTGGGGAGCAAGAGGAACCCAAAGACTTCAACTCTAGGACCACACCATCTACCCCAGGCAGTCACTGCCCTATCCAGACAACACCGTAATGGTTGACATTTAGGATAGTCTTGAATCAAAAGCAATTTAAATTGTGATTGTTTCCTTTTGACAAGGAAAAATGAATAATTAGATAGCTTACAAATGTTTCCACCAAAAGAAGTTAAATGATGGCTTTCCATGAAAAGAAATCAAATCCTAAATAATCCAGGAAAATCTCTGTTCTAATGTGCTCTCTGTCCTTAGATTGAGACCCCCCGCAAATCAGAATCTGTATTTCTTCAGTCCTTGGTACACCTGCTTTTAACATGGGGAATGCAGGGGGAGAGGGAACACAAACACACACACACACACACACACACACACACACACACACACACAACTCCCTGAATCGATGAATTGTTCAATTAATAACAAAAGCTCTATTATTTCATTTGTTTAATTGGTAATTTTTTTCATACCTTATTTAACATTTGCCTGAATTGTTAGAACATTAGGAACTTTTTCTCAATGTGGAATTTTGCTCTTATCATTTGGGGTAAATGTCTTTCTACCCCCATAATTTTATGATTAGGAGAAAAAGCACTGTAGAAGATGAATAATTATATTTTAAAATTAAGATCAGTATACATAAGGTTCTATATATCTATTTAAAAAATACTGCAAAGAGTTCTTCAAATTATTAGTGTGTCTTATATTACTCTGAAAGGGAACTTGGAAACCAGTTTTTTGGTTTTTATGTCAGATGGACTTACATCTTACGTAGGTGTTATAAACTTTTTAGAGAGGGGTCAACAGCAGTAAACAAATTTGGGGAAAATACTAATTATTTTATATTTTCAATAATAAGGCAACTCTGAGGCAGACAAAAATTATATAAAAACAGAAATTAATGGTTACCTCTCACAATGCTATGTTTAAAATGTTTTGCCCATGGATTTATGCTTATCAGAGGTATAATACCTAGCCTTTCTACTTATTTAAAATATGGCTTAATTTGAAATGTCTAAAGATAGCCAAAATAAATTCTTAAATTTTTATTCATTTGTACTTTAATTTACCAAACCATTCTGTTTCTCAGCCACTATGTCTATGTGGTTTGTTTGGACATTGAAGTTTTTTTTCCCCACTAACAGAAATCCAGGCTTTTATTTGTCATTAAGTAAGCACTAGTCTTCAGACAGATATCACTTTAAATATGAGTCACAAAAAAATTTCACTTTAATATTATGTCAAGAAACGAAAATATATTTCACAAGGCATCTTACACATCAGCTATTTGTATATCAGGTTAGAATTCAGATAATGTTTATTTCTCTCATTGGTACCAGCAGAAGTGGTTCCCATTTCCTTGCATTTTCTTAAGGCTCAAGCTGCTATGAGAATTGTAACTTTGGTGCAATTTCCATAAACCAATTAACCACGGTCGTTTATCTGTTCACAAGAACGAGCAGGAGTGCAGAAGTGGAGGGAAGAGGCACCCACATGTAGAGAGGGATGGAAGAGGGTTAACAGGCAGGCAGATTTGTAGGCACAGAATGATCCGCTCTCACCCCTAATGAGCAGAATCAGGCAGCTTTAATTCACGTTTTGTGGGGGTTTTTGTCCCTGAACCACAAAAGGGAATACAGGCTCCTGTTTAGGGGAGGGTTAGATTAGTCCTATCTGGTCAAAGGGAACAATACTGACATGTTAGTTGATCAGAAAGATGTTTTCACACTGTTTCTCATAGATAGTCCCTGGAGACAACTTTCTTTCTCTCTCTCTCTCTCTCTGTCTGTCTCTCTCTCTTTTTTTAATTACCAAGCATGACATTCATGGTTATTTCTTCTTTCCACCCAGTTGACTACAAAGGGGCCAGCTCTTCAGCCCCTTGTTGGCCAGGCCTGGGGGAGGAAGTGACAGAAGGCTGGCTTTATTTACCTTAGCAGCTTCCCGTGTAATCTGGTTAATCTTGTGGCTAATGGGAGGACACCATGGGTCCCCACACACTGTGCTCCACAATGAGGGCTCATTCATATTTAATACAATAGAGTGTTTAAGTCATTCCACGCTTTGTGGAGAAGATTGGCTTTCTTTGTGTGCCTTCTCCTGAGAAGCCTTCCCAGCTCGTCCTCTTTCAGACAGGCATATGTTCCAGCTCCTGCCTGCCGCAGCTGCACAAGGACAGAGCAGGCTTCTTTTTTTCTCCCTCTCTTTTTTAAGCCAATGAATTGATGACTGCAGTGTGAAATGTGGGTTGAAATGGTCCCCTCCTCCCCCGCCCCACCCCAAGGATGCATAGATGAGCCCTTTGCTATTCTAATATCTCACAACAAGACATCTCAAGAGGAAGCAGGGCTCATGTTCCTCCAGTGTGCCATTGTGAGGACAACAATCTGTTGAGCACAAAAGAAAAATAAATAAATAAAAGCAGGTGACACGTTGACCTTGTTCCTTTAATATTATCTGTGTATGGTGCGCCCCAAGCAGGGCTCTGGAGAAAAGAATAAACGGGGGTGCTTGGGTGGTGGGAAACGTTCTTACCCCATACAGAATGTTTAAACAATCCCATTGGAAAGAGAATCTCATGAAAACACAGCCACTTGGTCCTTGGATTTGATTTTAGGGAGAGGAAAAAAAATGAGGTCTCATTAGTCCTAATGGGATAGATAATGGATACACAGATTCTGTCACAGCACACTGGATAAACTGACATTTTGGAGAATAATAGAAATTAATGACTTTTGATTTCTAAAGTACAGATGGTAATGTTCTTAATTCTTATTTTCTTTTTCAAATTTGGTTCAAATTTTAAAGTAACTGAAATACTATCAGACTCTGCTTTCAATCTTTCAGTCACTTCAATGACACTGATTAAGAAAAATAAGGCATCACTCATATTTCTATCACAGACTAGTTTAGTCCCTAGTTTGATAATAAAGATGGACTTTCAAAGGCAAAAGATGAATGTTAACATGTTTTCTCCTAAATCTTTGGAAGTTCCCAAAGACTTAAAGTTCTGAAATCTTTCATAAGCTGATATGTATCTGAAGTCCTTTAGCTATAAGTGTTTGATATAGCAAAGTTTTTAAAAGTAGGGCCATGTTGAAGGGTGTTTCTGTTTAGAATAGCAATAAGAATCCTGAGTAAATGAGCTTACATTTGCAGCTGCAGTGGTTTAGATCCAACCAAATAATGTAATCTGCTGAAGTGATGACATATAAAGTAATAGGAACAACTATATACATATGGATAAGCCTCACTCTCAGATTAATGAAAGGTGAAAAATTATTGACTACTGGACTATGTAACCAAAGAAGATAATGACATTAATTTTTAACATGATGAAGAGTTTCTCTGGTCTACAAGCAGATTGATGTGTTGCAGCCCAAAGCAAAGGATTTAGACCGCCTGATCGCTCCCATTTCTTGTAGCCTGATTTAATAATAATACATACTGCCACTCTGGCAAGGAAAAACGGTACAAGCGATCCACATAGCTTCATGTGTACCTGGGCTCTTGTCATATGAATTCATTTTTTAACTTGCCGGTGTTGGAAAACAAATTGCTTAAAACATTAAGGAGTGCATTTATATTGGTCATTAAAAGGATAACCTTTACAAACTAGCAAATGCTGCAAAAGGGTTTTACAGTTGCTTTGGCTGAGCCAATAAACCACACGTGAAACCTGCTTGTATTTTCTACTTATGTAAGGCCCTGTTGCCTCTTAGAGTCAGCATACGATGTAATGTACAAAACACAGCCACTTTTATTATTGTTTAATGTTCATACACAAAACTAGGCTAAGTGGCAAAAAACAAAGCTTGATGCTTACTCTGTATTTCCTTACAATATGATTTTTATTTAAGTGGTTAGGGAAAAAAACAAATATTTAAAAATCAAATGAGAGAAGTTAAAATGAAGAAAGTATGCTTCCAAATGTAATGTATCAAAAAGAAAAAAAGCTTGGAGTAGGTACTGACTGAAAAAAATTATCTACAAATATCAGAAAAGGAAAAATGGAGAAAAGAAGAAAACTCAATCAGAAGAGTAGTCTTCAATCTCTTCAATTAACTTTATTTACTCAAATATAAGAAACCAAAGTGAACCAAAACCTTAATTAAAATTTATTCTTGCAAGCCTCTGCTCAGCCCCCGCATTACCCCCACCTCCCCAGCTGAGAGGTTTCATCTCCTTACCCTCTACTTCATTAGAGCCTAACAATCCATTATCCACTTCCTAATCCTCCACTTCTCCAAGGAGTCAGGTTATTAGAGGACTTGAAGGGTCCTCTCATTGTGATGGAGCTATGAATTGATCACTAAGATGACAACTGGTGACAAGTGCTGTTTATTAGACTGGTACTTTGCCTCTTAATTACAACTGATTAGCCTGCCTGTTGGAGGTGGAAACAGAAGAATTAACTGCTTTTGTTCTTGTCATCTACTACATTACACTATAGCTTTGATTTCCCTTTCAATATGACAGTATTTTTCTTTATCAAGATCACAATAAGAATCCTTATATTCCAAAACGAAAACTTTTATTAACATTTGTTTCCAAAACATTTAATGTTAACTGTGAATTTGTTCACATGCCCTCAGTTTAGTTATTAACTGGGAATTATTTACATATTTATTTTTCTCAATCTTAGTTCCAAGGAGGTGAGTAAAGTTTTGGGGTGGGGAATTTTATTATCTGTACTTTGGTTGTTTTCTACTAAAAGAGGGGGAAATTGTAACTTCTATGTTCTTTCATTCTCTCATAAATATTTTAAGACCTAATAGTATGCCTATGAAATAATTACAATTTTTATTCATTCAATTATACCTGAGGTTACCATGGGACACATGAGTTTCTTAATCTATCCCCTAAATCTTTAATTTGCACAAGGAGGAGTTTTAAATATGGAAAGGTTTTGTTTACAAAACAGAATCCACCCTAATTAAACGATTTTTGTTTGTCTTTTTTTCTCAATGAACTTCTTGATTTTCAAAGTTTTCTTTGAGCTGTAGTTTTAGCCCTTCTCATATTGATCAAGTCCTGAAATAAACTATTTTTCTAGCACTCAACAGTCTCAGAGTTTGCCATAGCCAATTGAAATAGTTACTTGGGTTTAAAACAGAGCACTACTCTAGCCAGGTTCTGGTTTAGTAGTTAAAAAATTACTTCTTTTGTTGAGAACTAAATGTCTTGATTTTTCACTTAAAGTGAATGTTAACAATCCTAATTTTTAAAGTTCGTATATTTCAAATATACATGTAAGTATAGCAGGCATATCAGTGGGAACTCAAATACTCTAGATTTTTTTCTTTATTTTAGAATCAAACCACAACGGGTATAAAAAAATTCTATATTCCCCCTCCCTTTGTATCCACTTACTCTTGTTTCAGCTCAAATCAAAAAAATAAAAAAAGAAGAATTATGGCCTGAAGGAGAATGGAGAGAGTTGGTTTCATGACCAGAATCAAGGAGGAAAGCTTGCCTGATCATCCTCAGAACACCATGAGATCCTTGAAACAGTAGAGTCTCTTTTGATTATAAAATATTTATTCTGCACAGATCAAAATGGTGAAGGGAGCTGATATATCTCAATAAGCAACATTTTTAAAAATTATGATAATTTTTGTATTAACTAATTTTTTATGACAAACGTTATGAATTCATCAGATGTTAAAGCTGAAAGAGGCATTGAAATCAGATGAATCCTTCAGAGAGAAAAGAGCCTTAAAAATTAATAAACAGGCCGGGCGCGGTGGCTCACGCCTGTAATCCCAGCACTTTGGGAGGCCGAGGCGGGTGGATCATGAGGTCAGGAGATCGAGACCATCCTGGCTAACAAGGTGAAACCCCATCTCTACTAAAAAAAAAAAATACAAAAAATTAGCCGGGCGCGGTGGCGGGCGCCTGTAGTCCCAGCTACTCGGGAGGCTGAGGCAGGAGAATGGCGTGAACCCGGGAAGCGGAGCTTGCAGTGAGCCGAGATTGCGCCACTGCAGTCCGCAGTCCGGCCTGGGCGACAGAGCGAGACTCCGTCTCAAAAAAAAAAAAAAAAAAAAAAAAAAAAAAAATTAATAAACATATATAAAGTCACACAGAGATCCAGTATTAGTCTCAGACAAGTGATTTTAATCTTTATGTTTTCCTTACCATTATTACTATTTCATTCATTATCATGACACTTTAAAGTTTTTGAAACACAGAAAAACCAATCCACTGCTTACAGTTTCCCATCAATAAATCATTAAATTATAAAGTTCATATACAATATAGTAGAATTTATGTCAGTTTTTAAAATATTAAACCAACCATAGTTCCAATCAATGTAATTAAACTAATAATTATTGAGACAGTACAGAAGTACAATTAAAGTGAATTCTCATGTCTGGTTGTCTCACTTATATTCTGGCTTGACCACTTACTAACTTATGTGACAGTTTTTGACCTGTAAAATAGAAATACTAGTAGCTATTTCCTCATATTGCTGATGTAAAGGTTAAAAGAAATAATATGTTTCAGGCAGTTAGATGAGTGCCTAATACAACTCTACCTAATATTATACTTAATAATAAAGAAATAAAAGCTTTCCTCCTGAGGTCAGGACAAGGACAGAGATGTCCTCTCTCACCACTTCTATTCAATGGTGTACCATTACCAGCAGGGAATCCAGAGGGGTCTGCAGCAACTTGATTCTTGCCTCCTCAGATGAAAGAATTCAGGCAAGGGGCAGAAGTAGTTTTAAGACAGAGGGAGAAACTAAGGCAAGTTTTAGAACAGGAGTGAAAGTTTATGAAAGAGCTTCAGGTAGGAACAAAAGGAAACAAAGTAGACTTGGAAGAGAGCCAAGCGCATGACTTGAGAGATCCAACTGCCCCGTCTGACCCTTGACTTGGGGTTTTATATATTGGCATGGTTCCAGGGTTTGTATTTCTTTTCTTCTGATTCTGTTCTTGGAGCAAGCTCTCCATATGCACAGTGGCCTGTCAGCACTTGGGAGGGGCCACATGCACAGTGTGTTTACTGAAGCTGTGCACATGCTCAACTTATCAGTGTTCTTAGAGGAAGGTCATATACTGGTTAAACTCCACCATTTTGCCTCTTAGTGAACATGCTTGAGCCTGCTCGCCCAACTCCTGAAACCTTATGGGGAAGCTGTTGATCAGCAGCTTGAGGTGTTTTCTATCTATCTATTGGGAGATTGCCCTTCCCTGGTCTGGCTGCCACGGATTATTATTTTAGAGAGACCGTTAACAACTGCCTGACCATCACCTGATGGTCACCTGACATTCCTGGGAGGGGCTCTCCTTTTTTCTGCTCATGTCTGCCTAACTACTTACTTTAAAAGTATGGGAAGTTCTAGTCAAGGTAATTATTAAACAAAAAGAAATAAAAGGCATTTATATTAGAAAGAAAGAAAACAATTCCATTTACAATAGCAATCAAAAGAATAACATATTAAAAATTCAGTTTAATTAAAGAAGCACAATACATGTATGCTAAAGACTACAAAACGTTGTTAAGAGAAATTACAGAAAATCTAAATAAAGATGCAATGAAATCCTGTGTTCATGCATTGGAAAACTTAACATTGTTAACATGGCAATACTCCCAAAATTACTCTACAGGTTCAACACCATCCCATCAATATTTGCCTCCTTTGCATTAATTGAAAAGTTGATTCTAAAATTCATATAGAAATTCAAAAGACTCAAAGTAGCCAAAACCATCTTTAAAAAGAATAACACAGTTAAAGAAGTTACATTTCCCAAATTCAAAATTTATCATAAAACTATAGGAATCAAGACAATGTGGTATTAGAAAAAAATAGAAATATCTATCAATGAAATATAATTGAGATTCCAGAAATAAACCCTTACATTTATTGTCAATTGATTTTCAACAGATGCTAAGACCATTCGATGAAGAAATAATTACAGTTTTCAACAAGTACTACTGGGACAACTCTTTGTTCATATGCAAATAAATAAACGTTGACCCTTAATTCAACCATGCAAATAGTTAAGTCACAATGAATTATATCAGATCTTAATGATAAAACTTCTAGAAGAAAACACAAAAATGTTCATGTTCTTGGGTTAGGCAAAATGTTATTAGCTATGACACCAAAACATGAGAAACTTTTTAAAGACTACTTGGACTTTATTAAAATTCAAACCTTTTGTGCTACAAAGGTCAAAATTATGAAAATTAAAACACAAGCTACAGATCAAGTTAAAACATTTGCAAAACATTTGTACAATAAGGAACCTATATCAAGAATATAGAAATAATTATTTCAACTAATAAGACAGATGATTTCATTTTTAAAATGGAGAAATGATTAGGAAAGACATTTATCCAAAAAATATGCAAATGGTCAATAAGCACATGAAAAGATGCTAAACATCATTAGTCACGGGGAAATGCGAACCAAAGCTATGATGAGATACCACTTCAAACGCACCAGGATAGCGATAATCAAAAAACCATTAACGAGTGTTGGCAAGGATATAGAGAAATCAGAACTCTCAAACATTGGTAGTGAGAATCGAAAATGGTGCAGCCACTTTAGAAAATAGCTTGGCAGTTTCTAAAAATGTTAAAATGAGTTACCACATGATCCAGCAATTCTTCTCTTAGCTATCTATTCAAGAATGATGAAAAAGTACGTCTGCACCAAGACATGACTGTTCATGGTAGCACTGTTTATAATGTCTAATGAGTAAAAGCAATCCAGATATCCATCAACTGATGGGTGGATAAATGAACATAGTACATCCACCCAAAGGAGTACTACTTGTCAATACAAAGAATGGAGTACTAAAACATGCCACAACATTAGATGATCCTTAAAAGCATTTTGCTGAGTAAAAGAAGCCAACATTTAAAAGAGGAGGAAACTAATAGTGAACCTTAGTGATTCTTTTCATAATTCCTGCCCAGGAGTGTCCTGAGAAACCTACAGAAATTGTCCCATCCACTGTCCCATCTGCAGTCAACAACAGTGCAACGAGGTGAAGAAGACTTCTGGGAACTCAGCCAGGTAACATTTTAATAGAGTTACATAATTTTCTCTTTGCATTTCACAGCATCCTAGCAACCTGCTGCTTGTGACAACCAAATATGATTACAAGAAGAGACTGTACTGCGTATGCAAACATCATCTACTAGTCCTTTAGTCTGATCTCCTTTTCATTTTAAACTAATACATTGCGATCTTAGATTATACTTGTGGATTTTATGAATTTCAGTTAGCGTAAATCTAGTCACTTGCTCCTGAGGTTTTCAAAAGAACATATCTCTGGTTCAGCAAAGCTGAGGTTTAGGTCCTGGATTGTGATGAATTCACGAAAGTACATGCCACTTTGTGAGCTCTGAGTGAAAATTCAGTTTCCCTCATATGTGACTTCGCATTCTTTATGCTAGATGTCTTTAAATCAAAACATTTCTAAAAGTTTGTCTGTCAGATGATTCTCTTGCCAAAAAAGACTTTTAGACTGTCGTTTCCCAAATTCCACTTTGTTCATATTTGCATACCTTCTTCATTCCTCCCTCCCCATTTATCTCCTTTTAATACACGGAATAGGAAAAAGGATGCTAAACGGAGAATCATGAGACTTAGATCTCCTTCTGATCTCATAGCTCAGAAAATAACTTGACTGTAGCACAGTCTTTATGAATCTTAGTTATTTCATAATTAATACGAGAAATAAGATTAATGGGTGATTCCCAAACCTGTGGTATATCAGATTTTTCAGTAAAACTTTAACAGATAGGTAAATGATAGAAAAATAGATAATAAAGTTTGAAATAAATTTAGAGGGATAGATTTATATATACATACATAGATATATACAGGAATATGCAGATGATAGACATAGATCTATAGATACAGACACATATATCACTTACCGTTATCCAGGCATGCTAAATAAATCTCTGAGAATAGGGCCCAGGGATCTATGTTTAAGAGAGTTCCCTAGTTGCTTCTTATGCTTAGCCAAATCTGAGAAGCCTTGAACTTGACGATTTCCCGGGTCCCTTCCGTTCTTAAATTCTGTCCTTTTGTTTTATTAATATTTTTAAACAGAACTATTTTTAGATGGGACATGTAAAAGACCTGGTCTCTCATTGACTTCTTTTCCTTTTATCAGCCCATTTCCCCGAGTGTCCCACCATCAGGATGGCATATAAAACAAATTCACTAGGTGACCCTCACATTCCAAATTCCACTCCTTCCTCTTTTGCTGATGTAAGGGTCCTTATCTCAGTGTTTCTCCTAATTTAAATTACAGTGACAACCCTTTAGGTTATCTTCTTGCTTGCACAATTAACAGACTGCAGCTGTACAAAATGCTGACCCAGGCATTCTGCTGTAGTATCCTATAGAACACACACGTAACTCCACTTTTGCTTTATTAAACTGCTTGCCAATCAGATTGCAATTTTTGCTTCTACGCTTTTGAAGCCTGCCAAGCTCTTCTGAATCCATTTTCTCTGATGTGCTAGCACCTATTGCAACTCAGGTGGCTGGACAGCCAGTGGATGCTAATTTTTATTCTGAAGACTTATAGACCAAGTCTATATTCTTGATTGTATACATTCCCCAATAGGGGGGTGTGCATAACCGTGAAAATTCAGAGGTAATCCCAAAGTCTTCTGCTAATTCAGAATTGCAAACTTCCTGCCCACCAAATTAGCATAGCTAATTTGCGTATTGTCCCCTATAATCACTTTCTTAACTCCTGTCTACCCTCTGGTGTGGTGGAGGTGCTAATGAGCAGAGAAATGAGTTAGACATAGGAAGTACAAGGCATCAAGAAACATGATAATTAGTCCCTAAATAATGAAAATGGGGAAGGGTTTACACTTCCATATTCTTTCTTTTTTGCCTCTGTTTTACTTCTCATTTAAGACAGCAAAAATACTCAATTATATTCAACAAATATTCATTCAGCACCTACCGTTGTTCAGAACTGTGCTCAGCACTGACAAGTTACACAGGGAAATTAAACATATTGCATTCTCTACCCTAAAGGGCTAGTCAATCTAGTATACAGAATAAGACTCAGAAACTGATGTTTCTAATCTAAAATATAATGTAAGCATTTCTCAGTTCCTTACTGCCTAAATTTCTTTGCCAGAGTTTAACTAATTGAGTTATATAAGCACATCTCTCCAACAAATGTTTGCAATCTAAGTGTGTCAATACACACTAATGTACTCAGTGGTAGAGCCAATATAGAATGGTTCCATTTGCAGCTTTTGTTCACAGTGCAATCTTGTCTGTTGTACTAACAGAGACTGGAAAACATCAGGCATAATAATTCTGCCTTTAGAAATTTGGACAAACTTGGGGGCTCTAAAAATGACAGTCAGTAGTTTCCCCTGGGGTCTTCTCACATACATAGAACCAGAATTGCCAAGCTCAGATGTATGCCTCAAAGTTTTGAGCAAGTTATAAAGTGTATTTCTGCTACAATGAATGGGCATACTGTTATTATTATTAACATCATATAATACAGACTAAAATGTCAAGGTTATAGCACAATATCAACAGTAATGATAAAAAACAAAGATTGTGAGTTTTCATGTGGGAATTTTACCACTTGAATATATTAGAAAGGAAAAAGAATACAGCCAGTGTTTCTACTCTAATAGTAACAGTATTTGTGGAAAAACAAGTAAATTGTTTATTAAACATGGGTGCTTTTAAAGTCATCGTAAGACATTTTTATGCCACAGTAGTGATTGAACTAAAATTATTAACTCATATTTATTGCTTAAATTAATCTCCTCAAAAGGGCCAACAAAAATCGTAATATTCAAAAGTGTGCAACAATGCCAAAAAATGGACAACTTCTGGAAAAAGACAGATATTAAAGATATATATGTGAATGACTATCTCAAGCCAAGTTTTAAAGTAAAACAAATATAATAGTTTGTCCTCATCCTAAAGCTGGCTTACAGGGACCCTTAATCAAGCTAGACCTGGACTCCATAAAATACATCAATTACCATGAGTGTCTTTCTTGGTGTCCTGGATTTATAAGGGTGTCCTTCTACTTATAGTGTTCTTGGGTTACTCACTAAAATGGAAAATAAGATTTTTACCCACATTAGGAGTTTTGATGCAGCTTCAGCAAGTCCATGGAGTCCATTACCAAGTTGTTTTTATTTGCACTTCATCGTGGGAACCCTACTGTGCTCCTACTTTTACTATTCAAGGGTATTTACCTTTGCTTATTTCTGAGACCAGGAGTGATGTATCAAAATTTGCATCCTCTTTAGAATTGCTTTGATAACACTTCTTCATTCTCATCAGATTCCACTAATTGGTATAGCTATGAGTATGTCCCCTGGTTAGCATAACCTCTGTTAAATATTGAGAGAAAACCACTACTACATATTTCTTTCTCTGAGTTGTAGAAGCAGACCAAATATGTTCTCCTGAGTAGATTTGGAGAAGTCACCATTGATGATTTCGTTATGTCATTCAACAAACATGTTATACTGTGCCCTACATGAGATGATCGCTCAGGTGATCTGGATGTAGTGATGAAGAGAACAGGCAGGTTTCAGGTCTCAGAAAGTTTAGAGTCTAATGGGTTGAGCCATCCATGTTGGCTCCATTTCAGATTCTTCAGATTTCATTTCAGAAATCTTCAGAGTCCTCAAAGGCTTTCCATTTCAGAGTCTTCAGATTTGGATGCCCATGAATTCCTACTGGGCTCTGGGTACACCTCACGCCCTCTTTAGCAAGTCCTTTCCCCCGGCCCCATACAAAGCCACTATGATACCAAACATTCTCCTAAAAGGTTCAGTGCAAAACTACCATTTAGTTCTCCAGCTTTAGTACTATACCTTTTCAGTGTCCAAAAAGCTGAAATCCACATTGTATACCTACAGGGAAATGCAGAGAGACACTGAAAGGGGGATCCTTGTTTATATGTCCAATGCATGTTATATGCAATCCCACACACTCACTAAAAACAAAATTGCTCCTTCACCAAATAATTTAAAGTAGCTGAAGAAACAGATTTCAGAATATTTGTTGATTTGTTTTTGTAATACTCAATCGAAACAGTTTTCTTGATGCCTTCCCTGAGTTTCATGAAAATGGAGATGTAGTCATTATCCTGTAAACAATTCTTTGATATACTGTACCTGAGGATTAAAGCTTATTTTTCCCACCAGATTCAATAATTCCTATTTAAATAGCTTTTCCATACTCCTATGCTCACAGAACTTTTTTTTTCACTGTAGATACATATGCCAAAGGAAAGTTTCTTATCATAGACATTAAAAAAAAATTCTTTGTAAGAATTTCTCACCCAGGAAGAGAATCCATGTTCCCAGGGGTCTGTGTTCCAATGGCATTTTTCTGTTCAGTTCTAAATGCTTAGTCACTTTTCTCACTGTCTGCAGCCACCTAATACATCTCAGCTGGGCAGAGGAGACCTGAGCTGTATATTCTGCTCTGGGACTGGTTAAGTGTGCGGGCTGAGGATTACCTCATAGGTCTCCATGCATCCAAGGGGATAGTCTGTTTTCAGAACATTGTGAAACTCCACTGCGAACATCCACTGTTAACTTGAATTTGCAGAACACATAAAATTTGAGCCACTATTCAGATCTTTGTTTACTCGGTTTGTTAGTTGTCTTTCTTCTTTTTTTGTTTATTCAGATCTCTCATATGATTTTTTTTGTTTGTTTTGTTTCTGTGGGTTGAAAGTGGAGAGCTTCATTTCACTGTACATACATGGACTAGAGTCTTTCATGCCCATTGGACTCCACAGTGACTCCAGGGAGGCATTTAAAGTGTGAAAAGCAAACCTTGTTCATTTTACCTCGACAAATGTGAATGGCTTTATGGAGAGGGGCAAAGAATATTGTCCTATATTGAGGAAACAGGAGGTAGAAAAATAAGTTTAAAAAAAGAGAGGAGAGACGTTTCAGAAAAAAAAAAAGATTACCTTCCAGTTCTAGAAGAAAATACTCTGAATTTGATTACCCACTCTTATGGTAAGATCAGACTATTCTCAGACTCTGCTTCTGAGTGGCCAAATCAACATAAACATATCCTGCTGCTTAGTGGGTGGATTTTTAGCATCATGCAAATTGAATATTTGGTATTCCCCCAAATCAGGATTTCTCTCTTAAAGGACAGCAGTTTTGATGCGTAAAGCTTGGAAAGTTCTGGTGAGATTGATGTTGCAGCTCAGAACCCTGACATTCGGATTAAAGTAGTACAGAAATGAATCTTGTATTTGACATTTAAAAGGGAGGCTTTTCTACTGCCCGTGGTTTCCTAAATCATACCAAAGGAACTGCCATGACAGAAAGGCTTGAGAAATCCCTTCCATTCATTCTGTATTTTCCCACATTATGGCCAATGAATTGAGACTCAGAGTTATTACATGTTTGGTGTCACAGCAACATACAAACTAGTGAAGCAATTCACGAAAACTAACAATCATTCCCTTTTTATGGATAAAATAGCAAAATTTGATTTGTCAACCACATCCACTGGGATCTTTAAGAAAGCATAACATTTGAAATGGTTCTCTTCCTTCTTCCTGAATATGTGCTCTTTTTTGAGCAACAGGGCAGGTAGTAAGTAGGTATGCGCTACTACAATTTGAATGTTTACAAAAGAATTTCAATAGTTCAATGGAGTGTTTCATATAAATAGAAATTTTATGGTCTTTATTTTGAAATACTACAATGTATCAGCTTTATAGTTATGTTTACAAATTCTCATACATTCAAGATCAATTAATATATAAGTCCAACATGTTTATTAAATATACCCACATGGTTTTCAAAATTTTAGAGTGGAAAACTTTAAAATTGTTTTCCACAAAAAAAATATGTAATCAAATGCACAAAATATGTTTTTCAAATGTCGTGGATTTGAATCTCCAATAATGATGTATAGATTAGAGCAGATCTTCAAAGCACAATTATTTATCCTTGACTAGGTTATACAAGAGTCTTCTTGTATTTACAAATGCTTTATTTCATATCTCTTTTCTAGACAGTCATACCTACAGTTCAGTTGTCAGTATAATGTGATGTTCTTTACCAAAGACTATAGAAAACATAAATGTTGTAGTTGTGTGTATACATATGTGTGTGTATATATGTTCATATAAATACATAAAATTGGAACTGTACCTGGAAAGATTGATTGCATGTTTAACATAGCTTTACAGCAATGAGATGAAAATACATCGGTAAAATATGCTCACCTAGGCGCTTTCTCTTGGGTTCGCCTATGTTTTATGAATTGAAACCTCTTTGCCATCTCCTTCAATTTATGCAGGAGCTCTGGCCGGGTGCGGTGGCTCACGCCTATAATCCCAGCACTTTGGGAGACCGAGGCAGGCAGATCACGAGGTCAGGAGTTTGAGACCAGCCTGGCCAATATGGTGAAACCCCGTCTGTACTAAAAAATACAAAAATTAGCCGGGCGTGGTGGCACGCGCCTGTAGTCACAGCTACTCAGGAGGCTGAGGCAGGAGAATAGCTTGAACCCAGGAGGCAGAGGTTTTAGTGAGCCGAGATCACGACACTGCACTACAGCCTGGGCGACAGAGTGAGACTTCATCTCAAAAACAAAACAAACAAACAAACAAACAAAATATAAATATGTGTGTGTGTGTGTGTGTGTATGTGTGTATACACAGGAGCTTCTAATTCCAGACCATTTTCCCTGTGTCCTCTTGTCATGCCTAAGTCATTCATTCACTTCATGAATAGGAAGAAAACCAATTGTCCTAAAGCACTTTTATTTTTAAAGTCAAACTCCTTTTTGCCTTTTTAAATAAACATCTTACCACCTCTATAAAATATGTAGCTCTCTTCTATGATCAAACCATTATTGAGATATATACTCGGGACCAGTAGGTCGTAGTCACTATGTTAAGTGCTGAATGTTCAGAGAAGAAAAGTCCTATAATCCCTTTTCTATTGAGTGCACAACCTTAAGAACAGTCTGGCACCTAAACCATCTAAGAGAAGGGCAAGCACTAGAAGAAAGGGAGGCACAGTGTGCTGTAGGGCTCATTGCCAAACTTGTTGACTCTGAAGATTACTAAAAAATCACTGGAAGAGATCAGATGTGAGCCGATTTGGAAGGATGGATGGTGAGTGGAGTAGTAGGGGATAGTGGTTAACGGAAAGGAGTTCCAAATAAAAGGAAGAGAGAGAACAAAATTTCAGAACTGTAGCACCATATGGCATGTTCTGGGAGCTAAGAGTAGATCTATATCCTTGCAGAAGAAGATGGAGAAGGAGTAAGAATTTAATGCTGAATAGGTAGGATGGGCTCGGGTAATAAACGGTCTTGCATGATAAACTGAGATTTTAGGGATTCCTACCAAAAGAAAGAAAAAGAGAGAGAGACAGAGAGACAGAGAGAGAGAGAGAGAGACAGAGAGAGAGAGAGAGACAGAGAGACAGAGAGAGAGAGAGAAGGAGCAGTCATTTAAAGGTTCTAAGTAGCAAAATTAAAAAAGAAAAATTATTTTAAACTGAAGATGGGGATCAAAATGAGAAATAACAATTAGGAAGCTGTTGCATAATCCAGTGGCCATGGTGACGATGAGGGGAGACAGATCTGGGAAACATTAGGAAGACTGAATCCACATAAATTCATTCCAGATTTAATGTGAACCTTAAGAGAGAGGAAGTCAAGAATTATGCTTACCAGTATTCCTCCTTGGACATTTTAATGGATGTTTATGCCATTATATGAGATGGCTGAAAAGGATTTGGTGGTGAAGCAGGAGGTAGGGATAGAGATAAGTATAGTTTATCTCCATTTTGAATTTGAAATATTGAAGACCTTTACATGGAGATATTCAGATGGTTGAATTTATGAGTTTGGGGTTCAGAAGAAAGACTCAGAAGCCTAGAATTGAGAGGCACTATTTTAAGTTATAGATAAAATAAGATTTCCCAGGAAACATGTGTAGCTAAAAAATAAGTAGGGTGAGTTTGGGACGCATATTTTTAAGGTGATGGTGAAAGCCCATGTAGGTGTAGCTGGAACAACCAGAAGAAAACTGTCAGCAGAAGCAAGGGCGACCAGCATGTTCCATAACTCTTTGCCTCCATCAAGTCCCAGAGAGTCGTTGTATGTATGAAAGATGAATTAATTAAGTTGCATATGTAATGTGAATATAGAATTAAATATAGACATTAATCAATTAAATAAATACATCACACACACACACACAAAAAACAAAAGTCATAAAACTAGTCTTCATATCATCGATTTCCCATCACACGTGTACCACACATTCTACTTGAACTACAGCTCTGTAGTTTGGTAAAGCTTCTCTTTGCTTGTATTTCATTATCGGGAGCTCTCATTTACAAACCTCTGTTTTATTTCCCCACAATAAAAGAGATGCAGTTATTTAACTATGCAGTCATTCAAATCCTTTGGGAAAAAATTATGGGAGTTTGCTAAAATTTTAAAAAAGAAAGTAACTTGGGAGCATTAGCATTTTTATATCCACATTCTACTTTTTTCAAATTATTCTTTTCCCTTTGCTCTCTGCCCTTGTCCTTTAATTATTTAAGATGTACTGTTTTCCATGGAAAAGCAAGATGGTTCAAAATTACTAGGATTGAGTATTTTCCCTTAAGCCTTCATTATAGTATTCAGGAGGAGAGAGTAAAGGTGCCAGCTATTAAACTGCTGCTCTCTAGAGAACTTGCGTGAAGATTTTACATTCCTTTACTATCAACCTCAGTGGCGCTGACAATTGTAACTTCGATGAGAACAACATAAACATACATAAAAGCTTTTTCTTATGAAAATCATCACAAATTAATGCAAGCATCAATAAATTTGTATAAAAATTGAAATAAGAAAAATAGATAAAGGGATCAGTTTTTATTGTTTCTAAGCCAGGATAAACAGTGAAATGAAATGACTAAATGATGAAAAATGAACACATTGAAATATACTATGGAGACAGTAAGTGTCTGTTTGTCTTAGGAATTTCATGGGTCTAAAGTAATTTTGTATTAAATGGACATCTTAACTATGGAAGGTGGTCTTTGTTTGTTTGTTTTTTTAACAATGAAACAATGAACTGTTAGCACTTGACTATTTTTTTCCCATGGCCCGTGGCTACTTATTTTAATGACCCAAGGAAGTAACAAGAGGCTTGTTCACACATTAAAATGACCTGGGATCATTAACTTTTACCTTGACAACCAAAAATGAGTCTGTTCAAATGATTAAAGACACTTAGGATCCAGAATTGCAATTAGTGAAACATTTCTTTAAATATTGTAGGACCCAGTGACTACATTGATACTGATGAGTTGAGGTCATAGAAGATGGAATAAATCAATTTTTCAACACATATATTCACTGGTCTGAATACTATTCAATTCCTTTACAACTTTCTGTTTATTATCTGTTCCTCATGAATTGCTAAATTTAGGAAAAATCCTACTGTGCCCAACATTTCAACTCTGATGAAGAAGAAAGAAGAATCCCTAATCTGTATTTCAGAAAGCTAATATGACACCTGTGCCAGAGGCCACTAGTTAAAGAAACCAGGAAAGGAAAAGCAGTCTTGTCTTCTCTAAAAATATCTATGAAGTAGGATAGGAAAGTCTTGGTTGCTTTTTGGATAGAAAAGTAACCTTAGCAACTATGGTATCTGATAAGAGAATACTATTACTGTGTGTTCACCTGGTTATATAGTGAAAGCAGAATTATTAGAAGCACAGGTAAAAAACAAAGTAGTTATAACTATCCTCTTCAAATATGTGTCCTTCAGTAACCAAAACAGCATGGTACTGGTACAAAAACAGGCGCACAGACCAGTGGAACAGAATAGAGAACTTACAAATAAAATTGCACGTCTACAACAATCTGATATTCAACAAACTCGACAAAAGTAAGCAATGGGGAAAGGATTCCCTATTTAATAAATTGTGCTGGGAAAACTGGCTAGCCATATGCGTAAAACTGAAACTAGATCCCTTCCTTACACCTTACACAAAAATTAACTCAGGATGTTTAAAAGGCTTACATGTAAAACCCAAAACAATTAAAACCCTAGCAGAAAATCTAGGGAATACTGTTCAGGACATAGGTATGGGCAAAGACTTTATGATGAAATTGCCAAAAGCAATTGCAACAGCAGCAACAAATGACAAATGGGATCTAATTAAACTAAAGAGCTTCTGCACAGCAAATAAAACTATCATCAGAGTGAACAGACAACCTACAGAATGGGAAAAAATGTTTGCAATCTATCCATCTGACAAAGGCCTAACATCCAGAATCTACAAAGAACTTAAGCAAATTTACAAGAAAAAAACAACCCCATTAAAAAGTGGGCAAAGGATATGAACAGACACTTCTCAAAAAAGGACATACATACAGCCAACAAACACAGGAAAAATAGTTCAACATCACTGATCATTAGAGTAATGCAAATCAAAACCACAATGAGATACCATCTCGTACCAGTCAGAATGACAATTAGTAAAAAGTCAGGGAACAACAGATGCTGACGAGGCTGTGGAGAGATATGAATGCTTTTACACTGTTGGTGGGAATGTAAATTAGTTCAACCATTGTGGAAGACAGTGTGGCAATTCCTCAAAGATTTAGAACCAGAAATACCATTTGATTCAGCAATCCCATTACTGCATATACACCCAAAGGAATATAAACCATTCTATTATAAAGATACATGCATGAGTATGTTCATTGCAGCACTATTCACAATAGCAAAGACATGTAATCAACCCAAATGCCCATCAATGATAGACTGGATAAAGAAAATGTGGTACACATACACCATGGAATACTATGCAGCCATATAAAGGAATGAGATCATGTCCTTTGCAGGGAGATGGATGAAGCTGGAACCCATCATCCTCAGCAAGCTAATGCAGGAACAGAAAAACAAACACTACATGTTCTCGCTTATAAGTGGGAGCTGAACAATGAGAACACATGGACATGAGAGGAGAACAACATTTACTAGGGCCTATTGGGGGAGGGTGGAGGTGAGAGAGCATTAGAGAAAAGAGCTGGTGCATGTTGGGCTTAATACCTGGGTGACGGGTTAATAAGTGCAGTAGACCACCATGGCACATGTTCACCTATGTAACAAACCTGCACACCCTGCACATGTACCCCAGAATTTAATTGAAAAAAAAATTTTTTTAAATGTGTCCTTGAATTTGCTTTATCATGATTCTCAAACCGTGGGATTAGACTTTGAGGAAACACATGGAGGAAATTCTGAATGCATTAAAAGGAATGTGGCCTGCCATGCTGGCTCAAGCCCATAATCCCAGCACTTTGAGAGGCCGAGGCAGGAGGATCCCTTGATCCCAGGAATTCGAGATCAGACCCCCATCTCTTAAAAAATAAAATAAAATAAAATAAATAAATAATGGAAATATAATCATAGAATTTAGACTAGCTTATTATGAAACTCATTTTTAAAACTTTAATAAAATCCATCAATATGTTGTAGAATTCCTTGAGCCAGTATCTTGCCCTAATTTTCCTCTTACCATTTGTTTTCTTTTTTGCTGAAGCCCTTTGTTGTATCCACCATTATTAAGCTCATTAAAAGTTTATCCTTGCCTTTCATCACTACATTTAACCTATACTAATTTGAACATTTACATATCAAAGTCCAGAAAATAAATGATCAATTTATTCACCAAATAATTCCATTGTATTTCCAATGTCTAAATGTCAGATTAGATTATATTAATTTTTGAGTAGAAGAAATATAAGTTTATCCATTCCTTGGAATATCTTGATGGCTTAGGGTATTATGGAAACTTTCAGTAAGGTGTTTTTTAGAAGGGTTCTTTAGCATATAAACAACAACATAACTTTAGAAAATTACCCTTCAGCCTGACACAGCTATCTTTAATTGTCCGTATTGCCTTTTTGTTCCCATCCTCCCCTCATTCATAACTATAAATCTACATGCTGATTTTTAATCTGAAAGTTTATCCTGGTTTTTCTATGTTGCTACATAGACTTTGTATTTAATGACATCTGTTTATTATTATGGCAGGGTGGGTTTTCTGGAGACAGACACTGAGAGTTTGGAGTGCAAGATGTGGGTTCGAGATTAACATCTGTAAAGACAAGAGGAGGGGACAGGGCTGCATGTGGAGAAAGCTCAACAGTGAAGGAGGCATAATAGCATGTCTCCAACTCTGCAAGGAGCTCTGGAGTGAGTACTAACTGTCCAAGTGCCCCATTCTGGGCCCAAAGGGCTAGGCCCCTCCACTTTCACTCTGCATAATCATCTGATTTGGGCTGCTCTGGGTAGGGCATGACCTCAGGAAAGTGGGTTCCTTGATGCTGAAGCTGACCATGAACGAACTGTCACTGGAGACTGCCTACTGTCCACACTCCCTGAAGGCGGGCAGTAGATCCCCAAGTCCACCACACTCATCCATCTTTGATTGCTCATGACAGAAACGAAAGTCAGGCAGGCTGAAATTCTACCGTAGATCCAGGAATAGCTAGATGCATGTGCTCAATGGACACTGAGAGGAATCTGTATTTCCTTTTCATTTCTATGTTGACTGTGTTCTTGGGTAGGTTCTTCCTTCCTACTGACAAATGTGGCTACCAACAGCCAGAGCTGACAGAGCACACTGCTATGTGAAGGTTTGCAGCAAATTTCCAGGGACTGACACTGATTCAGCAAAGGGTCTACCCTAGGAATTTAGGGACATGAATGGAAAGCTGTGAAGGCTGATTATTCACTGAAAGATCGAGATGCTATTGCTCAAAGAAGACAGAAGGGATGTCGGACCGGCAAAAACTATAATTGTTTATTTTCCTTGATAGTCATAGGTCTAAGGGGTAAGCAGCTGAGTTAAGCTAGGCCAATCATTTCATACTTCCTGAAATTAGAAACTAGGCAGAGATATTGTCACTGAGTGTTGTTAGAACTGAATTATCTGAAGGTAGCCACTTAAAGGAGTTTTATTTCTGTAATTATTTTCAAATCAATTTTACCATCCTGGCTCTACATTTTTAGAACCTTGGTCAAGCTCTTTATCTGAAAAATGTGAAGAGTAATGGGACATAGAAATAGAAATATTTTTAAACTTGAAAGACTTAATATACATAAGAAAGCACAAATCCTGACATTTTGTAAGGGATCAGTAATGTAAACTGTTATTGTTATTACTAACAGCAGTAATACTAGTAGCAGAATAGAACATCTATTAATCAAAGAGCTATCATGGTCTAAATAGCATGCTAGACACTATGCAAACTACAAACACAAATCAAACATAAGTTTTATGCTTAAGGAGATTCCAGTCTGGTGAAAGGGATAATTAATATATGTTAATTATATACAGTATATTTTACAGCCCATTTGGAAAAATAGACTTTGACTATCTAGCCCCTATAGAGGTAATTTTACATTATATCATTGCACATTAATTAATCAGATGATTATAAATATATATATACACACACATGTACACATACATATGCATATAATGTATGTGTGTTTGTGATAGGCCAAGATAAAGAAAAGAGGAGAAAATATTTTAAACCATTTGAATAGCTTCTAAAATTTATATATATATCTGTGTAATATAAACCATGACTGAATTTGTATGCCAACTTCCTGAACAAAAAAAATCAGAATATATTAATCACAGTAGGAAGCTATATGCCTGCTACATATAATTTTAGCCAATGGCTTAATATATGTTCTTAGCTTAATTACTTCAAAGGGTCAATATTCTAATTCACAAGATTAAACAGAAGACAATTCTTAATCTTAAAGTGTCTATTTTTAACTCACTGGTGCCGTATCCCTACCTGACTTTAAATATATTGGGGTTTTTCCTTTATTATAAATAGACTGCTTTATTGCCAAGACATGACTAGGTTAGAACTTAGTTAAAACTTCCCCAGGGCAGGGATTATATCATGTTCATCTGTGTATGTTTGACAGTGCCTAGTATGTAAAAGGTCTTCATACATTTATATCTTTTTTTAAGTAAAGCAATAAGTGTCTGTCAAGGTCATTA
Source organism: Homo sapiens (assembly GCF_000001405.40). Taxonomy (NCBI): domain Eukaryota; kingdom Metazoa; phylum Chordata; class Mammalia; order Primates; family Hominidae; genus Homo; species Homo sapiens. The sequence goes on from NC_000006.12 coordinate 9,477,498, forward strand.
GGAACACAGGTATAGTCTCCCTGACCCAGTACTTTTCTTTTCTTTTTTCTTTTTTTTGAGATGGAGTTTCGCTTTTGTTGCCCAGGCTGGAGTGCAATGGCGCAGTCTCCACCCACCGCAACCTCCGACTCCCGGGTTCAAGCGATTCTCCTGTCTCAGCTTCCCGTACAGCTGGGATTATAGGCACATGCCACCACGCCCAGCTAATTTTTGTATTTTTAGTAGAGACGGTGTTTCACCATGTTGGCCAGGCTGGCCTCGAACTCCTGACCTCAGGAGATCCACCTGTCTCAGCCTCCCAAAGTGGGGGATTACAGGGGTGAGCCACTGTACTGGGCCAACCCAGTACTTTTCTATAAACTCTTCGCTAGTAGTCTTCAGTGAGATAGGAGCTTATGCTGGAATATAAATGGACTATATCATAGACACACTGTTTTGTTGAGCTAACCTTTTCTTCACAAGACTTTCTAAATGAAGAAAGAAATGCACTAATTTACAATGTTAGTTCACCATAGACTGTTTACTGACCTGCTATTTGAAGGAGCATTGGTATAGCGTCTATGGTCCAAGCGGCTAAAACTTGGTATCACAAGCAAACCTTAATGCAGAATTTTCTATCTTCAAACATTTGGGTGGCAAGTTAAGTAGCTGGAGATCATTTTTAAAAAATATTTGAAAGTGAAATTGTTTTTCATTGCCTTCATTTTTGTAGGGTGTATATTATGCTGGTTTCTGTATGAAAATTTAATTAATTATTATGTTTACTTGTTATAAATTTGTCTTATTCACCATCTGTGCCCTGTGCAAATAAGCAAGAAAAATATTCTAAGTTCTTATCCAAAATAAATGTTTTATTTTTCCAGTGTTTTATATCCAACCAGGAGGCCTGGATTGTAAGGCCAGTGAAATCTCAGCAGTAGGGTCATGGAGTAAGCTAGCAGTCAAGATGGGCTGGGACTGGAGACACTGGTCAACCTCTAGGGTCTTCTACCCAAGAAGGAACATTCGGTTCAACATACTATATCCAAAATGACATGGAAAAGATTGTTGAACAACAGAGAAAACATATACATTTACTACAGATGTGAATGGTACTTCCTACAATTGTGCTGAGCACAATCTGTACAATTTCATGTGGCGGTCCTGACCTCTATGGGTCAGTAGATGGGTCATAGATACTATACCAAGACATACCTAAGGATGTCCAATCAAATGTTTGAGTGTAATAGCAAAAGTGTAGATGCTTGAAAATGTCAAGGGTCAAGATGGACAGCAATGCCTTACCTCTAGTTGACAAATCTGCTGAAGAATAGGGCCATAACTAATGGCTACTACCATAAAAAGTAGAATCCAACCCTCAAGGGAAATTGGGGCTTATAAAAAAAACAATTTTTTAGAGTTCTAGCCAAATTGTCTAGAATTTGTGATAAAATTAATGTCTTTAAAGAACAAGTGGTCCAACAGTAAGAATCAGGAAAATCTATCCCTCTGTGGCCTTCAGATTGGGCAGAGATCCTTGTACATACACCATATATTAATGAGAATTACAGCAGGGGTAATCTTCAAAATATATTTAATAAACAGCATAGTGTGGTTATCAGCCAATCAGAATAAATGTTGCGTATAGCTGGGAAAACAGGTTTGAGAGGATCTTGCTATGCTAAGAGTTAACTCTCTAGTTGCTGCATTATGGTGATGAAAATGGCCCGGTTGTCCCATAGACATGATATTTATGGGTTTTTTGAATAAATATAGAAATTGACCTTCCTGGTCTTAAAACTCAAAGCTCACATTTGTCTCATCCGAGTTCCTTCCACAGAAAAATGACCCTCAGGCAAGGGACTGAAACTCCTCAGATCACTGCACCCAAACAATGGGACGCCAGCCCCCTCATCCATCGTGGTGGCTTCCTTGCCCCTCCCTAATTCCTGTTTTCCCACCTTCCCAGCTATATAAACCCCCCAGTTTTAGTCAATTGAGTAGAGATGGACTTGAGACTGATCCCCCATTGTCCCGGTTGATGTCCCTCTAATAAAAGCCCTCTTCCCTGGCAGTACTCCTCTCAGTGATTGGCTTTCTGTGCAGTGAGCAACAGAATCTAGACTGTACCCTGGCATTTTGGTAACACAGAGATTAGGGCACTAGTCCACAAATATGGCTGCATATTGGAATCAACTGTGAATTGTTTATTGAATGCTGATACTATTCTTAGAGATTCTGATTAATTGTTCTTGAGGGGGTGGCCTAGATATGGGGATTTTTTTAAGTTCCTGGATGATTCTAGTATATTTGTCTAGTACATTTGTCACCTGTCTTTGTTTTGTAATTGAGGTTATATGCATTGTCTTATGGTTGGCATTTTATCTCATAAAATAGTGTGGAAAGGTTTAATTGCTGTAAAATATTGACACCATTTATGAAGTAATTTTTCTTTCTTTCTTAAAGATTTTTAGTCAACAGAATAAAGTGTGAGAATCACTGATTTAGCATTCAGGCAATGAGAAGACCAAGAATGAATCAGTACGCACCCTTCTCTCCTACACACATTAGTGTATAAAACCTATGTTATCCACAACTTAAAAAATAGCTCACTTCAGTTTCAATGGCTTAAGTTTTCAGGAAAATAGATCATAGTAGATTTCATATTCTCTTATCATCCAAATTCCCTTAGCAATGTCCATCTTCCAAGTTCTAGTCAATGTCAAATATTTGTCATCTGTCTTTGTTTTGTAATCAAGGTTATAGCATTGTCTTATGGTAGGCATTTTATTTCATAAAATAGTGTGGAAAGGTTTAATCACTGTAAAATATTGACACCATTTATGAAGCAATTTTTCTTTCTTTCTTAAAGATTTTTAGTCAACAGAAAATCCTATCCACCCAGCTCTCCTCTCCTGGAAGAAATTATGCATGGAAATTCCTTTTTTACATGCTTTCATTGAAACCCAAATCAGTATCTGAAATGTGTTCTATACTAGAGCAGGTTGTGCTTCAAGCTTTGTCTTGGCAAGATACAGAAATTAAAGTCATGGGCCAATTTTTGAATTAACATGAAAATTCTTTTTTATGTGCATACGAAAACATGTCTTTGAAACATCTTGCCAAAGGCTTCTTCGTCTTCTGGTTGTTATATAAAAACATGGTCATCCCAAAGGGGCGGAAAAAAAAAAAAAAAAACCAACTGTGTTCCACCTTAATCAGATTCACAATCATGTCCTAATGTAATTTGTCCTAATCCATTTCGGAGGAAGACAACCATTTATGATTCCCAGAGACGTGTGGGAATAAATGTGGCTATACGCAAATTCCCTAGGTGCTCTGTATACTATATTTACTAGTTCATAAAAAAGCTAACTACATTTCTGAAAAGAAAGCTTTACAGATGCAATGTCTGTTCTAAATACAAAACCCTACTCTGTCACCCCACAGTCATATGGTCCTTATCTGTTTGCCATACACAAACTGTATTCTGGATTACAGTAACTTAGTTTATAATAAAAAGCACACACATTACTGTATTAGCCTAATCGTATATGTCAATGTTTGAGAGACAGTCCTATTTTTAGTTTTACTGGGAAAAGATAGGTAACACTTAGCATAGTAAGTAATAAATTACCCTGTAGTAAAATAGAAAATGATTGGTTCCTGATTTTTTCCCCAATGCCTTGGAAGATAAATACGTTAAGTGGCTTGTTAAAAAACCCAGCATAATTTTGTTTCTGAGATGCTATTGCGGAGAATGCTTCTGAGGGTATTGAATCTACAAGTTTATTCTGCAATGAAATCCTTTTTCATGGATTTTATTGTTCATTATAAGCATGTTATTACAAAAGCAATGTTTCCTATAAACAGAACTGGGACTAGATGACACATTACTGAAGCAAGCCAGAAATGTAAATAATCAAACGGTTTTTGTTTACTTTTCTGCAATGATCATGAAATCATACTGACCTAACATCTTATCATTTATTTATTTATTTTTCGTGTGATATACTTTTTTCTTTATCTCTAGTGCCATTCAATGGTCGTTTGTAGCTAAATGAACTCTGCTTTGCTCTCTTGGGCTACAGAAACTCTATTGTTTCACTTAGTCAATGATGTGGTTTCAAAGGCCATAGAGTACTCCTTATGGAAGTTTTAGGGATAGCATAATTGCTCACTGTTATCAGTGAAAGCGATCTTTGAGGACATCTGGGAATCTGATCTTCCCTCAAAACTAGGACAAATCATGAGTAAACTGATCGACAAACATGATCATTTGTAATTGAATTAAAACAAAGTAACATCTAAATCTAAATAACAAAGCTTCTCTAGGCCATGAATAGAGAGATATTCAGCTATTTAACTTTTTAAATAGCTCTGTTGACCATACCTCTGGTCAACATTAAAGCTTAAGTATCAGGTCCCCGACTCTCTAAATACTTGGCAAATGAACATCACCTACTCCTCTTCCCCACTGCTACTTACTCCACCTAAGAAATACCTTAATCCTTCATCTAGTATTCTTCTCTCCATCTTCCTCGGGCTTCCTCTCAAGAGTCCCCAATGTCTTCTTGAGAGATAATTATGCCTGTAGCTCAGGGACTCAAAGTAATCACCAGGCTTGGCATGAAAGAATGCTGGAATGCAAACTGAAGTGCGAAGCAACAAAGATTCAGTGCAGATATTATGAAAAGGGAATGCATTATAGCAATTACTCAGTTGGCCTGATTTCTGCCAGCCTACAGGATACAGCAAAGAGGCCAAAGCATAAACACCACCTAGTATTAGTCATCATGACTCATTGACATTTGGTGTTCAGGACCCAGTGGAAGTCTTTGCATAGAGATCTAGAAGCTTTGGTAACAAAGCTTCTAGAAAAGAAAAACAAAGCTCATAGACTTTTTGGCTTTTATTCAGTATAACATCAACTTCTCCCTGTGTCTCCCTTTAAAGTTGGAGGTTACAATACGTAGCTGTGTTTAGAGAAGCTTAATCATAAAATATCATGTAAAGTTGTGAAGTGCTGCTAGAGTGAACAGTTAGTTCGTTTAATGAGAGTCAGTTGCAACTGACAATGAGGTTGAGAGTGTGATTGCTGCTTGGGCTGCAGGCACTCACGCTGTCACAGTCTATAACCCGAATCCCCACCAGCCACCTATTAATGCTTGATTTTTATCACAGGGGATGAAGAAAATAGCACAGAATCATCAACATAACTTGAGAAAATTCTAAGTACAAATGTAGCCTGCATCATCAAAAAGACATGACAAGGAGGAAAAGGGGAAAACTATACATGTTTTGGAAGAAAGTTCTAGCTTTCCTAGAACTGGCCTCATTTGCCTCAAACAGTCCTAGTGTATGTGATTTTCCTGAAGTCATTATCAATTTCACTCTGAAATTGAACCAGTTTGCACAATGAATTATACAGTCTCATTCTCACTTTATCCAATTTGACATGACTCAGAAGTGTGAGAAAGCAGATTTATTTAGAGCATCTTTGATGTGTCTTGTGTTTCACATGTGCTACATAAAGAATCTGTATTAACTGTATTATTTAAACAAAGTAAAGCAATACATTCTATTGGATGGTGTCAATACACAGCGATGAAGGTGCTTAATTACATAAAGGATCATTACTTTTAATAATCATGTAAGTATTTTAATCCTGATTTTAGTAGTTTTCTAGCAATTTTTCATAAGTTACATAAAGTTACTGGAAAAGGATTCTTAGAAGTGAAACTTACAGAATTAAAAAAAAATTCTAAACTCTAGATGAGCCAAACTGTTTCACTTATTCTGACCCCTAACATCCACACAGCTGAATGGAGATAACCAAAATTATCCGATGAACTGTCCCATGTCCCAGTTGGTAGCTTAAGGCACTGAATAATGGAATCCATTGAGTGCTAAATACATCAATTATCTATTATAATTGTTATAATAATTCTGTTATAATTGTTCTGAACACTGGCAACTTTAATTAAGGAACAAGGTTGTAGTATTGGATAATGTTATGAGCTAAAAGACAATTGTTTCTAGTTTTCTTTTCTATAATTTTTTTGTGCCAGACATATTCATGCATTTTGCTCAAGGTGATTTCCTTAGACAAGGAATTTAAGCCAGACTTATTCATGGCAGCCAAATGTGACCATGCTATGCCCTCTTCTCACATACTACCAATTGTGGCAGCAGAATGGATTCTGAAACAATCTGCATTGATTGTTAGACTAGATAAAATGTTCATCTTAAGTGAAGTTAGGGACACATATTTTGGGAAGCTTTAGGGGACAGAAACTGAAGCACTAAATAATTATTCTAATCAACGCTGCTCCTCATAACAGCAGCTAATAAACCATGTGAAGCAACAGTGTGAACTACTTTTTTTTTTTCTTCCTAACAATTCATTTTGGGACCCACATGCCTAGATTATGGCAACAGCTGTTTTGGAACTAGCTTTGTTGGTTTAATCAAATGTATTTGCACTTTAAGTCTTCTCTGTGTTATGGTTATTTATTATTATTATTAAATGATATTAGCATGATCTGGGGCCATAAAGCATACAATTTAATTGCATATGTTTTCTGAAACAACAGGATTGGTAACCTGTTGCCACTTTTTTCCTTTCATTTAGGACATAAATCACTAGAGAACAACTGAAGTAGCTCTCTCTGATTTTATTTAGTGCTTTGGATCCTAACCCATAAGGGAAGTGACTGAGATTCAAACATTTTTTTTCAATTAATTTGATTTCGAAACTTGCAGGAAGCTGTCACAATGATTCAAAACTGTTTTCTCTAAAACAATAAGTGTAATCTTTGATACAACTGGGCCAGTTAGTCGCATTGTCAAATAAGTGCGGGAATAGAAAATCAGGTCAGCTGAATGGTCCAATGGTGACAATAAAATGCTGTGCATGTATATTTCCAAATACTTACTGTAGTAATTGCCACAAAAATGAGTCCTATGAAATGAACCTGAGGGTTCCCTGAGTAATAATTTATTTCACTTACTGCATATGGGTACTGACTAAGGCAGCCTCACTTTGCACTTTCAAGGAAGAGGAAAGATCCAGAACTATCTCTAAAACACTTTTGATACAAATTTGGCCAATGAAATAATTGGGCACTCAGTTAGGCAGTAAAAAAACTTACTCCAATTTAGAAACAAACTGACTGATGAGGCCAAGTAAAATAATGGGCCTCATGGTACCACAAACAGGAAAGTCAAACCTAAATTAAAATGAATATGATTCAAGCAACTATAACTTGATTACATCAGTTTTAATCACTTGATCTTTCAGCCCTGAAACACAGCTTTTTAAATACTACTTTATTTTTCTTGTATACAGTAGTCATCCTTTTCTATGTATGCTGTGTAGGTCCAGGAAACTTTTGTCAATAGAACAAGATAGCTATTTATGTCTGTATTTCATCATTTACATATGATTCATTTACTCGTGAAATGTTTATTAAGGATCTGCTCTATGCTAGCCTCATTCTAAGGACTGAGGATAAAATTATGGGCTGGATAAACAAAGGCCCTGCATACTGAAGATAAACAGCCAAGCAAATAGTAACAATAACTTAAAAATAACTGTGATAATGGAAGTCAAGGTCACGTTGGGAACATGAAGGGGCATCTCACCTAGTCTGGGGTGTGTGTGTGTGTGTGTGTGTGTGTGTGTTTGTGTGTGTGTGTGTGTCTATGTTTGTGGTGGGGTTGGTTGGAGGAGGCTTTCTGGAGGAAATGTCATTAGAGACTTGAAGGAATGCGCCAGGGGATGAAAGCGGCTCACAGCAGCCCCTACCTGCAGCTCCTCAATTAATTGTTCTTCCTGGATATGGTCCTCCCTCATTCCGGAGTTTCCTAGAGTCCAGTGAGAACTTCAGAATGCAGTCAAAACCTAGTCTCCTTAGGCTAGGATCCCAACTTGGTATAGGTATGTTCGCCTGCTGTGGTAATGTTGTTGTTTTATAACTGCATTAATTAACAACATTTAGAGATTAAAACATTTCCCTCCAAAATCCACACTTTGGGCTTCTCTTGCAAAAAAATAAAAAAGAAAGCTCTGGCAATAGTGATCTTGGCTTCCTGGGTAGCAGTTAATCCCTTGGAGCAAATAGGACTCTCCTGCACACCACAATCCCTTCATTCTTTACTAACCCTCAGTACGAATGACTGTCTCTAATATTTCATACTTCGCCTCCTCAACTTCGCTCATTTAGGTCACTTTCCTGGCATCTATAGACGTTTTGGCTTGTAACCTAGGCTTAATGCTATACCAGGTTTTAAGTAAAAGAAACACCTGATATTTCATAGCCTTTTGGGTGTTGAGTTAACCTGATCCTTCACTGCAGAGTGTATGTGTGTGGATATAGCCCACAGATGTTTAATTCACATTACCAATATATAAGAAACATCACCCTGGATATTTTTCAGTGGTTCTGTTTTTCTTGTTCATACCTTGCCCATGTATTTACAGGCAATTTTGTTATTGTTCTCAATTGAACTGCACATAATTGCTTAAACAAGACACACATTCAAATATACAAAGTGTCATTTTTTAAGTAAAGGGATATGCATGAACTCTAAAGAAAATAAGATTTTAAAAAGAATTTAAAACATACTCAAGCCTCAAATATTTGTACTTTGTGAATGAGCCTTTAAGCCTGTCTAGGCAAGCAAGATCATTGCGGAAGTTTTTTGAGGCGGATAGTAGAAACACTCATGTTTGAATGTTCAGATGAACAATACGGAAGGACATCGTGAAATGAACAATTTGGTAAAGGCATCTGGACAACACCTAGGGGCAGATGCACATACAACAGAGAAAAATAATAATATAGCAGCCTTAATGGACTCAATTACCATGCAGTACATGCTTTAGTGTCTTCTTGGGTCCCCTTAAACTGTGTATTAAACATTTGGAATTAAATTGAGGCTCATGGTGTCTGAGAAGAGGCATGTTTCAAGTTTGTTTTTCCTTGATTGTTTAATAAAAGAGGAATAAGTGAGGCTACTGGAGGGAGAACAACAATTTCTTACAAGCTAGGAATTCTGAATTCCTGACATGAAGCTGGTCCTCCTTAAATTATCGTGAAAGACATTTGACTGGACTTGGGCATGAAGCATTACGTACTGCTAATAAAGAGTGAATGAGGGGCAAAGAGGAGTGACCTGGGATTGGAGTGGGGGTATTGACCTTCCAGCAGAGTGAGGGTCAGGAGGGCTTACACGGTGAGAAGGGCAGAGAAGTGAAGAAAGAAGGAGGCCAAATCTGCAGTCATTAGACTGGATATGATTGATTGTCACTCAGCACCCATTTCTAGCCCATTCCTGTGTTCTTCCCTGCACTACAGAGCCAGAAAGTTAAAGGCTGCATTTCCTACACTTTCTTACAGGTAGGGTTCTAGAGAGGAATTAGGTCTCTCCAGTCTGATGTGCCTTCAGAAGATCTAGAAGGTAAATGAGATGGAAGCTATCTTCTTTTTTTTTTTCAGTTATACTTTAAGTTTTAGGGTACATGTGCACAATGTGCAGCTTTCTTGATATTGATTCTGACACACAAAGGAACGTCCTGGAATGTGAGGGTCAAGGGACTTTTGCAAAGGCCAGCCTCAGCATTCTGGTGGCTCCCTGGTCCCTGAATTGCACCTGTTTGTTCTCAACTGAGTAGTTCTAAAGTTGCCTTTATGTTCCCTGCTCTGTCATTGTCCCCAATTATTTCTTTAAGCCCATTTTACTTGAAATACCTAGAGTACTCTATTTTCTGCTCTGAATGTTGACTAATACAGTCCTAGTTCCAGAATTTGAAGCTAGCAGATGGAACCCATCCAACTGGAGAGGCGCTGATAGAGGAGTCAGGATGGCTTTGTTATGGTTTGGGAAGATCTATCTGTAAACAGCATAATCCAGGCTTTTAGCTTAGAGGAGGCTTCCGGGGAAAGGGTTGGCAGAAGTTAGGTGCAGCCCCAAATAAACAGTCCAATATTGGAAGTTGTGTCAAGGCAACACATAGGAACGAAGAAAAAATATAAAGAAAAGTTAGACTAAAGCATTATTCCATTGGTTGGACAAATAATGAGTTAGCAGTAGGGTAAAAGAAATTTTATAAGTGATAAGCTTAAAAAAAAATCCCAGGTTCTAGACTGTAGTGGGCAGAAGAATAAAGACAACTAAAGAAAACCATTCTGTAACAGCTAGACTCTGGATCCCATCTAGAGACATGACTCTAGATAAGTGAATGCTAGAGGACCTGACAATAATAGGACTGGCTCAAGAACTAGTACAGTACTGATGTTATAAGTAGGAAAAGCAATCCAGGGGACTGAATCCTGAACACTTACAATCTGCCCTGTTACAATGTATGCATGCCGGATACTATACAGACAGGTAGGGTGGGGATAGGCAAAGTAACAAGTTAAGGGGTTGTGGAAAGAAGATGGACACTAGAAAAGGCTGCAAGAAATGGGCAGAGGAAAGTAGGGGGGAATATGCCTATCACTTTTATTTCAAGAGAATCATTCAAATGTATACCCAGAAGCTGAATAAAAGACTACAAAACTGAGTGATTTTACTCCTTGCAACAAGAGAGAGGGCCCTCTCAGTGATCTATAAAGAACTGCAGAAAATATATTTTAAAACATTTCGGAGTACAGGTCTCACTCTGTCACCCAGGATAGAGTGCAGTGGCACAATCATAGCTCACTGAAACCTCAAACTCCTGTAGAGACTGGGTCTTGCTGTATTGCTCAGGCTGGTCTCGAACTCTTGGAGTTAAGTGATCCTCCCTTTTTGGCCTCTTGAAGTGCTGAGATTACAGTTGTGGGCCACCTTACTTGCCTGTAGAAAGTATTTTATAAAGGGTGTCAGCACAATTTTCTTTTGCCTCACGTCTTTATTCCAATATTATTCTCATATTATTCTCATGTTTAATAATTTATTATATTGGGAAAATACACCAAAAAAAATTTCAAGCACTGGGCATAGGCAGATCAAAACTTCAAACAGAGGTGGCATAATGTGAGTAAAAGATCCGGATAGGAAAACTAACCTCCAGAAATTGTCATTAACCATTGTCATTAATCACTGTCATTGATATTTGGACAATTGATTAAGTTTTCCTGGCTCCAAAATTTCTGATAGATAAGGAAGAGAGTTGGGTCATGTCATCTTCAAGAGCAAATAAAGATTGATGTAAAATTATGTGCTCCAAATTTCTTTTTAAATGAGAAAAAATAAATCCAAGAAAATACCCATTTCTGGCAATGATGCTGAGAAACTCACTCATATGTTGTGCTTGGTGATGTAAATTTGTTCAAACTTTTTGGGAATAATGTATAGTATGTTCTAGGAGCCTTAAAAATATATCATTGAATACCTGATGCTATATTTTGAAAAGTACTTTAAGAAAATAATTTTTAAAACATGGGAACACTAGATGACAAAAGTATCCATCACATTATTTTCAGTATTATAGAATCATACAGCTTAAATGTTAAAAATAAGATACTTAGGTCAATATAATAAGTTTAAAGGAGTGTTATTTAGAGACTAAAATTATCTTTCAAAGACACTGTAGGAACATAGAATTGTGTATACTGCAACATTAAATCAAAAAGCAAATACAAAATTAAATATATACAATAACTATGTAAAACTATGTAAAAAATGGCCACAAAAAGTTTTCTAGGAAAAAAAAGTTTTACAATCTTATCTTCCTATTGAACTTAAATATCCTAGTTTCAAAGCAGCCCCTCCACCATCAAACAAGATCTCTAGAGGAGGCCAGACGTGGTGGCTCATGCTTGTCATCCTAGCACTTTGGGAGGCCACGGTGGGCAGATCACCTGAGGTCAGGGATTTGAGACTAGCCTGGCCAACATGACGAAACCCTGTCTCTACTTAAAATACAAAAATTAACCGGACATGGTGGTGCTTGCCTGCAATCCCAGCTACTTGGGAGGCTGAGGCAGGAGAATCACTTGAACCCAGGAGGCCAAGGTTGCAGTGAGCCGAGATTGTGCCACTGCACTCCAGCCTGGGCAACAGAGAGAGACTCTGTCTCAAAGAAAACAAAAACAAAAAAAAATCTCCAGAGGAGAACATTCCTGGGCCCACTGATGTCTTATTCTTCTCACTGTGCATCCTTCATTACTGAAAGAAGTGTCCCCAGGGCCCTTCCCGTTGAATATAGCTGGCTGGTGGGTTTGCTAACCTTGCTTAGTTGATCCAATCTACGATGCCCACCTAGTCGAGCTTTCTATTCCCGTCTCATTGCCAGGCATTTTCAACTTCACCTCATTTACTACAGGGCAGTATCATCACCAATCCTTCAAGCAGCTATCCCATCAATGAATTATACAGGCTCAGATATCCTTGCCAGCAGGTTAAATCTGATGCTACTAAAAAATACACAATGATAACAACCACTCCTCTATCCAGCCTTGTATTTTGGGTCTCCTGTGTCAACACCTTTATTCATTCTCATATATACTCTCTCTGTTCCTGCTAGTTCATATTGACCAGGACCTGTGATGAATTTCTTGAATACTCAATTTCTTCCCATCCCATGCAAAAACGGTACCTTCCCATTAAAGCCATGCTGCAAACGGATCCTAGTTATTGGACTAGAAATAGTAAGAGGAGAAGGGGCAAGTTGTGAAGAGAAAGAGAATTTATTTTGTGAGGCATCTGCTTTATGTGAACTCTCTGTAGACGCTCTAGGCACAGGGAGGCTGTTCTTTCTTAGCAGCCAGAAGGTGTCATTTCTATCAGCTTGGAGGATTCAGGTGATTCTGGGGATACAGGTTCTCACGTGGATGACCTAATTGTCTTTATCTTGGGTCTCAAATTCCCTTTCCTTCCCTATTAGACCCAACTTTTACATGGACAACTTGCTGGAGCTGTAAACTGAATATCCTTGTTAACGCCACAACCATAATGATCCAATTTCAGGCCTAACTTCATTATAGTCTTGCCTCTAAGTGCAGGAGATGAGGGTCTCTTTAACCCTGCCACGGAGGTATTCTGACTTTCACAGTGTATTCTTTTTTTTTTTTTTTTTTTTTTTTTTTTTTTTTTTTGAGACAGAATCTCGCTCCGTCACCAGGCTGGAGTGCAGTGGTGCGATCTTGGCTCACTGCAACCTCTGCTTCCCAGTTTCAAGCAATCCTTCTGCCTCAGCCTCCCGAGTAGCTGGGATTACAGGCGCGTGCCATCATGCCCAGCTAATTTTTCTATTCTTAGTAGAGACGGGGTTTCACCATGTTGGTCGGGCTGGTCTCGATCTCGTGACCTCGTGATCCACCCGCCTCCGCCTCCCAAAGTGCTGGGATTACAGGCATGAGCCACCGTGCCCAGCCCACAGTGTATTCTAAGGTGATACCTGGATGAGCCTATCATTATGTTTATCAAGATTTTTATAGCAACTAGAAAAACTCAAGAAATTCCATAATTCTTATAATAACCATTTGTCACCCTATTTTTCAAGCATCAGTGCTTCTCTTCCACCTGTATTCTATCATATTCCAGCACAGGTGAGAGTTAGTAATTGACACCCAAGGGTTATCACCACCCCACTTATCACCAGGAGAAGGCACTTGCTGCCCTCATTTTTCAGAATGCCATCACAATGGTCTGCTTTCCAGGGTATTAACTGCATGAGTTTAGATTCCCCCAAAGGCAGATGCCAAGACAAGATTTTGGCCCATGTGTTTCTTTGAGAGGTGGACAGGAAGCACAATGAAGTAGTGAAAAGGAGAGGAAGGGAATGAGGTAAGAATAAGGGGGTTAGCACTATGGGGAACTTATTGGGAAGCTCAGTCCCACCAAAGACTGTCTCAGAGGTGAAGTAGAACATATCTTAATATCTCAGACTTATCCCACTGAAGTGCAAAGAAGCTGGCATACTTATTCACCAACTCCCATTTCTTATTGTTGAGGACTGCTCCTGGGACATTAACTCCCTGGTACTTCTGGTTGCTTCCACTGCTGGATAATTCTCAGAGGCAGGATAATGCAGAAAGCCACTGGCCTTGAATATGACCATCTGCAATTTTTTTTGTGGGTGAACTAAAAGGATATGGGTGGAGTAATAAACATGTCTGTTATAGTTAGGGAACATCTCCAACGAAAAAACGTTATAGTCTCATTTAACTCATATTTATGAGCACTCTGGGGTGCTTCACAGTATTTAACACCATAGAAATTGCTTAGCGATGGACTAAAAACATATGACATAATCCTAGGAACCCCTGCAAGACCATTCTTTGAGAAACGAACAATATTAAGAAGGTATCTGAATTGCAGCTCTGAATCGCTCTCAGGATGTGACGATGGTCTGTTGCTCAGACACCATATAATTGCTGAGAAATGTATTAGCTGGAAAAAGGTAAGTAGGTAAGCAACAAAGAATGAATGAAAGTAAACAAAAGGAAGCATTTCAATATACTGTTTAGACTTCTACTCTCTAATACAGACATCTTTAGCATATGCATGTATTTATATGTGTGTTTATGTCAAATATATAAAATATACATGCATAGATAATGCATACCTTTATCATAAAATCTTATATATATGTGCATTTGTGTACTTAAAAAAATTAACTTTGCATGCTTTTTGTTAGACTATAACATCTTATTTAAGACTCAGAGCCAACATGTGATCTTAACGGTCTCTCCTGAAGATTTATGAACTACATAAGGAAATTAACAGAATGGATAGATAGATAAATAGATAGATAGATAGATAGATAGATAAATAGATAACAGATAGGCAGAATGTCTATAGTTATAGATCATTAAAATATAGAAAGGTTTTATGGCAGGTCAAAAGTTAGAGTACATGGATTTTAAAGGATCATGTAAGTCTTTATTAAGATTGCATTTAAGCTGAGCCTTAAACAACAATTAGAATTTGGGTATGCAGAGATGGGAGGAAATGGGGAGCAGATACGGACTAGACAGTCCATGTGGAGGAAATAGCTTAAGCAATAAGCTCAAATAATATACCAACTAAAATAATAATAATAACAATAAGCTTTGTATTTCAGAATTTATTGTCCTAGGAATTACTGCACAAAATCGGAGCTGAAGTATGTCCCACGGTAAAATGCCCATCTCTGGTGTTTCTTTGCATCTAGGACAAGTTAACAGATAATGTATATAATTTCACATAATTACAGTAAAAGGTTAGTGCCAGTGAAATGGCCACAAGGGGTATTAAAATAACAAACGGCTAAGTGATGCTTCTTTGCTCCTTCTTCCTGGTGCACCCTGTTAGCTAATGGGGTAAAAAATCAGGAACAAAATGTTGTCCTCCCCTCTTTGGCTGATTTCCCCTTTGACCTTTTGGGGTTCAGGCTGTTTCCAGACTTCATTTGCACACTCGTTTCTCCTCCTTCCCTGGCTTAGCACTCAGTGTTTCCACAGCAGATTAATGACAGCTAATAATATCTGATATATCTGGACATTGCCACATAATGAGTTGCAGTCCCACTGGGTCCCAGAAGTGTCACCACTAACAAATTCGCCAGACCTGCACATAATTAGCATGTAAAGGGAGTGATCGTGCAGTAAATCTGTAGGGGAAGATGGATAGCCCAGGAAAGAAAATGTAAGGGGAGAAAAATCCCTTCTTATCATGCCTTACTAAATATATGTTTCTTGGCAAGAATATTTTCTTGATAACAAACTGTGGACAGGTTACCTTAACAGTAACATTATTCCTTTCATGGCTGATAGGCAGAATTTCATTATGTCACAGCTAATGCTTCAATATTTCTGCAAAATGTCACCCTATGTAAATTAGGAGAGGTTAGGGTTTCCTTTGCAGTTTTCTTTAAAGATGCACGACCCCCTTTCATCGTGGCCTGGTGCTCACTTCTCTCCTCTTTGACAGGCTAGAATTTAGTGAAGAAACCTACAGAAACTTTGCCCTTAGCTTGCAAAAGCTAAATGAAATGGTATATATACTCAGAGACAGTGCCTTGAAAACTACAAATGGAATTTATACTAGAAAGCGAAAATAAAAAGAGAGAAGGAATCCAGAAACCACAGTGTACATAGTATGATTACCAACTTGGAGGCATGTTTCTCACATGATACTGAACATTTAGACCCACATGGTAATTTTAGGATTTGTCTCTTGCAATCGGAACAAAAATGGAAATGTTTCTGATTGTGTTCAGTGGGGCATGAGAGCTTTGCCCTGATCTTTCAAACCCAACACAGTAATCCATGCCAGAATAAGGCCTGCTACTTGAAAGAAAACCCCAAAAAATATGACTGTGAAAATAAACCTGTTGAGGGAGACACTTCTGAAATGTGGATCAACTCTTTTCCTGCAAGAGTTAGGAAACTGAGCCAGAGGGCCTAGGTGAAAGTGTGAAGAAGTTTTAACAACCAAACCGGAAAAAGAGCGTTGATACACTGGGCCTTGGGAAGACATGCTGTGGAGGCTGTTTACCTCCTTTGACCTTTGACTTGTGATGTGTGGCCAGTGTCAGCCTCCTATTTGATACCTCACAATTCTTCCAATAAACATAGGGATTGGGGGAGGACGATCATTCCTTGAAGCAGGATTTTGAGAAGTTAGTCCCGGATGCTCAGGGCAATCTAGTAGACAGTCAGCGCTTGTAGCCTGGTAATTACCCTGTAAGGTGATCGATAAAAACCCTGAGGGCAAAGACTCTTCTCCACCCCTCAATTCACTGCACTCAGGTTTCTGCCCCTCAATGCCCCTGAAAAGTGACATTGGTGACCTCCAAAACCATCCCTTGTAGGTCTTTTTTGATTTGAATGGTCTGTATCTTCAATGGGCAATTCCGTTCACACACATGATCTCCAATGTCCTTACACCGGCTGATTCCTAAATGCACGCTCCCAAGACCCTTTCAACCAATGCTCTACTGAGCATCTACTCCTGAATGGCCCAAAAGCTTTCTAGTCTTAACATGTCTGAAATTCAACTTCTTTTTTTTTTTTTTTTTTTTTTTTTTTTGAGACGGAGTCTCGCTCTGTCGCCCAGGCTGGAGTGCAGTGGCGGGATCTCGGCTCACTGCAAGCTCCGCCTCCCGGGTTCACGCCATTCTCCTGCCTCAGCCTCCCGAGTAGCTGGGACTACAGGCGCCCGCCACTACGCCCGGCTAATTTTTTTGTATTTTTAGTAGAGACGGGGTTTCACCGTTTTAGCCGGGATGGTCTCGATCTCCTGACCTCGTGATCCGCCCGCCTCGGCCTCCCAAAGTGCTGGGATTACAGGCGTGAGCCACCGCGCCCGGCCGAAATTCAACTTCTGTGTCAGCCAACACAGCCTAACCTCAACTCTCTCTTCCTATATTGAAAAATGTGATAGTGTCACAACTCTTCCAGTGTCCAAAGGCATTCAAGGAGTCACTCTTCCCTCACCCTCCTATTCAGTGTTGCAATTTTCTTAAATGCCTTTCATATTCACCCCCTTTTCTTTGAGTCTTCACTTCTTTACACTTTATTTATCTCCTAGATTATAGAACACACGCTGGCAGGTCCTCTGATTCAAGTCTTATCTTTTCCCATCCTTCTGCTACCAGAATGATCTTTCTAAAACACAAATGCAACCACATTACTCATTTCTTGTAAGCCCTCCAATGAGTCCCCATAGCCAAAATAATCAAGCTCAAATCCCTAAATTCCTTAAAGTAGCAGACACAATTCTTTGCCTGGCTTCTGACTGACTGCCTTGCTTGCTTTATCTTGCTTGTTTGCTTGTTTTTGTTGTCAGATGTAGCATCTCAGTCCTACATCTGCATCTGCATTTTAAGAAGATTCCCAGGTGTTTTGAATTCACATTTAAAATCTGAGAAGCACTGATCTAGCACACTGGTTCTCAAGCTTGACTACATATGAACTCACCTGAGAAGCTTTTAAAACGTATGATAACTGAGTCCCATTCCCAGAGATTCTAATTGAAAGATTTGTTAGATATGACATCACAAACTTGATTACCGAGGACAAGAAAAAATAATTGATACAATTGAATTTTATCAAAGCTAAAATTTTTTGGTATTTGAAAGACGCTATTAAGAGAATGAATAAAGGTGATATTTCTACCTTCATCAGATGAAAAGGTGATCAACATCATTATTCATTAGAGAAATGCAAGTTAAAACCATGATAAGATACCACTGTACCACTATTAGAATGATTAAAAGTAAAAAATACACATTTCACCAACTGTTGGCATGGATGTGGAAGAACTAGAATGTTTGTATATTGCTGGTGGAAATATAAAATGCTGCCACCATTATGCAAACAGTTCAGCAATTTCTTAAAACATTAAGCCTACACCTACTATGAGACACAGCCATTCTGCTTCTAGGTATTTACTCAAGAGAAAAGGAAACGTATGTGCATTCAAAGACTCATACATGGAGGATCATAGTAGCTTTATTTGTAATAGTTCAAAACTAGGGAAAACAAAACAAAACAAAATGTCAATCAGATGAAAGGATAAACAAGTTGTGGTATCTATGGAACACTACGCAGCACTGAAAAAGAATGCACCATTGGTACAAACAACATAAATGGATCTCAAAGTAATCATGCTCAGTGAAATAAGCCAAACAAAAAAGAGTATACCATATGATGTCACTTATGTAAAACTTTAGAAAATCAAAACTAATATATTGTGATATAAAGCAGATCGGTGGTTGCTTGGTGATGGGAAACAAAGAGAGCTGGGAGAGCCTACAGAGACCTGATTAAACTTTTGGGGGTATCACCCAAAAGCTTCACCCACACAGCTAGTGAAGCTAGATGTTCACTAGCTTGATTCTGAGGATGGTTTGAGCAGGGTACACGTGTCAAAACTTACTAAATTGTACACTTTAAATATGTGCATTGTCCTGCACGTCAATTACATCTCAGTAAAGCTGTTAAATCAGTGCTCATGGGCCAGGCGAGGTGGCTCACGCCTGAAATCCCAGCACTTTGGGAGGCCGAGGAGAGCGGATCACAAGGTCAGGAGATGGAGACCATCCTGGCCGACATGGTGAAACCCCGCCTCTATTGAAAACACACAAAAAAATTAGCTGGGTATAGTGGCAAGCACCTGTAGTCCCAGCTACTTGAGACGCTGAGGCAGGAGAATCGCTTGAACCCAGGAGGTGGAGGTTGCAGTGAGCCAAGATCGCGCCACTGCACTCCAGCCTGGCAAAAGAGTGAGACTCCATTTCAAAAAAAAACAGTGCTTATGTTACAGCCTAGAAATATTAAATCAGCTATATCTTTTGCTCTAAGTATACATTGTTTCCAGCAATACAAAAATACATATTACACGTCTCCTTGAGTTTCCATATGCCCTCCCACATGATTTCTGTCTAGGAAACTGTCCACGGGTAAAGATTTCAATCAGTTGTCACTCCCTATGTGAAGTCTTCCTAGGTCCTCCTTTAGTAGCTTGGATGGTTCTGTTCCTTTTACCCTCCTGTATTTCTAACAGTTAATTAAGACCTTTATGCATCTGCATTTCGTATTAGATAATGATCTTTTTGTGGAAGAGACTTAGAATGATTCATGTAGGAATCAACATTTGCCAAGTGCTAAAAAATGTCAGTGCACAGAAAGAACTGGGTGACTTTGGCCTGGGCTACCGCATCTGTGAGTAAATAAACTCCGGTTATGTCGAAGGACAAAGAGTTGGTGGGTCAGTTTCAGGATACCATGGGGTCCCCTAAGTATTGGTGGTCATGAAGAAGACACATTTTATTGCGTTTTTTTAGGCAGCCTTCTTGCCTCAAAAATCAGCAAGATAACTAAATAATAGAGATTACTTATAGAGTAGTAGATTGTGTAAGGACTTTTGTCTCTAGCTCAGTTCCCTATTCACTGTTCTTGAATAAATGAATACTGGCATAGGCAGCCTTTATAATAAAAAGGTCCCCTATGTACCGTAATGTCTATATTTCTCCTATTTGTGAAGCTGAATGCCCTCCTATTTGTGAAGCTGAATGAAATTTGGGGTTGAACTTGACAGTCCCTTCTACCTCATACCTTACCCAAATTAATGCACTGCAAAATCCCATCACCTTTGTTTTCTGTTTTCAATATCTCTCAAGAACAGACATTCCCCTCCAGGCCCCCACAACCCCACAGGAGCCAGGCCGCCGCTGTGTCTCATCTGGATTGCTTTTCCCTACATCTGTTGGTATGCACTCCTTACTTCAAATCAGTTCTAAAAACTGCATCCAAAGTAGTTTTTTTTTCCCCTCCAATCATATATTTGTTGATGAAAAGGCAAATTCAAATGTTCGTAAAATATTTGAGGAGATTTATTGTGAGCCATGTATGGGTGATGACTGCTCTGTGACACAGCCCCAGGAGATCCTGAGAACATCTCCCCAGATGGTTGGGATATAGCATGGTTTTATACATTTTAGGGAGCTATAAGACATCAATCAATACATGAAAGATGTACATTTATTTGGTCCAGAAAGTTAGGACAATTTGAAGGGGTTGGAGAGCTGGGGCTTCCAGGTCATAGTTGGATTCAGAGATTTTCTGATGGGCAATTGGTTGAAAGAGTTATTATCTGAAGGCCTAGAATCAATAGAAAGGAAGGTCTGGGTTAAGATAAGGGGTTGTAGAGACCAGAGTTTTATCATGCAGATGAAACCTCCAGGCAGCAGGCTTCAGAGCTCTTATCAGACCCAAAAAGGTTCCAGACTCTTAGTTAATTCTCTCCTGAATCAGGGAAAAGACCTGGAATGAGAAGGGAATTCTCTGCAGAATGTAGATTTTCCCTACAAGAGACAAACTTGCAGGACCGTTTCAAAATTTGTCAAAGAAATATATTTTGGGTTAAAATACTTTGATTTCTTTCAGGTCCTGCTAGGTGTCATGTTGGTATCTTATTGCTACAAAGAGTTTGCTTTGTCGGTCTTAATGTCCGCTTTAATGTTAAGGTTGGTTGGCTTCCTTCCAAAGGGAGGACGGTATAATGAGGCATGTCTGGCCACCCATTCTCATCATGGCTTGAACTAGTTTCAAGTTTACTATAAAATGCCCTCGGCCCAGAGGAGGGGTCCATTCACTTAGTTAGGGGGCTTAGAATTTTATTTTTGGTTTATAAATATGACAACATACCCCTTCTCTAACCTAGAGATGAAAGTTTGGAATGGGGAAAATATCTAGCAGCTTTCATGAAGTTCATTATTTTCATCATGATCATTACTATGGCCTCAAGAAAACTATATTACATAGATCATTTTGAAGTAAAAAACAAAAAAATAAAATAAAAACAAACACTGCTATTCATCTTAGCATATAATGAGTTAAAAATTCCCATGATTGGACGGGCGTGGTGTGTCATGCCTGTAATCCCAACACTTAGGGAGGCTGAGGCAGGTGGATCACCTGAGGTCAGGAGTTCAAGACCAGCTGGCCAACCTGGTGAAACCCCACCTCTACTAAAAATACAAAAATTAGCCAGGCGTGGTGACACGAGCCTGTAAGCCCAGCTACCAGGGAGGCTGAGGCAGGAGAATTGCTTGAACCTGGGAGGCGGAGGTTGCAGTGAACAGAGATCTCGCCACTGTACTCCAGCCTGAGCAACAAGAGTGAAACTTGGTCTAAAAAAAAAAAAAAAAAAAAAAAAAAAAAAATTACCATGATTGAGGACAATTGAGTCCTCACTCATGGTAAAAAAACAAGTGTTTTTTAAACACTTAGGACACATGAGCCCTTAACGCACAAAGTCTTCTCAATACTCATCTAAGGCAAGTCCTTAATCCTATTTTGCAGGTGAGGCCACAGTAGCTCTGCCTTGTTAAAGAACTTGTCTCTGATCACATAGCTAGCAAGTGGCAGAACTGAAGTAGAACCCAGAAAGCCACTCAGTCTGGAGTCTGAATTCTAGATCACTATATGCATGGTCCTCAGCCCCACCTGACTCGGCATTCTGTTTAATAATAGATAATGTGAAATCCCTGCTTTATCATCGTGAAATACAATGTATAGATAATATAAGTTGCCAAAAATGAAATTAAAATTAGTATTAGCTGTGAGTGAAATGTAAAAAAACAATAAAAGGAAAACATTGACAATAAAATAATGTGCACGTTATTATGTAAATGTTTGGGCACAAGCTTGCTAGAAGATGTAACAAGGAAGTAGATATTTGCCGCTGAAATTCCCTAAACATGACAGCTTTAAATAAGAATGACACAGATGGGCTTTATTGGTAGCGTTATGGTCAGTGATGTGATATTCTAAAATAGTGAGAAAAACCTTGGTACTTTTCCAGATGAAACAAAGTGACCTCCTTTCTCAATTTTTGTGGCAAATGTGTTCCAAGAAACTTCAATGTAAATTAAAACTGAGTAAAAGCAACAACAACGGCACCAACTTTTGGTTCATGTGTTACCCAAATTAGGATCTAGTTTCAGATAAACAGATGTTCATCTACATGAATTTTCAGCAAGACAAACGGAAGTCATGGGATACACAGGCACGTCCTTCTAGGGCTAGACTGAATCACACAGTGTCTTTGTAATTAAATCCTCTTGCTTCTGCTCACGAAACCCTACAGGTTGAGTATCCCTTATCTGAAATGCTTGGGACCAGAAGTGTTTCAAATTTCAGATATTTTCAGATTTGGGATGCTCAACCATGTCAGCATCACTCCAATCATTGTGACAACCAATGACTCCCCCACAAATGTCCAAAATGTCCCGGGAGCAGTGCAACCTCCATAGTCACTCTCCTATGACCTCATGAAGCATTTGTCCCTCTTGATAAAAAATAATCAAATTTCTTACTTTTTAACTCAGAACCACAGGCTCATCAATCATACAAACAGCATTGTATTATTTAAAATAATGAACATCTATTGTACAAATAGGACTAAGAAGGGATTCAAGTTTAACTAGAAATCGATATTATTAATACAAGAAAATGTACCTCTTATTCAGAGACCACTATTACCTTTTATCGTCTAAGCAGCCTCTTTGGAAAAGAGTAAAGTCTAATAATCAACAGGCATACACAGCTCACAGAGACAGACAGGTTACTTAGAACTTTTAAAATGTTTTATGTTTTCTATTAAATATAGTTTTTGAGTAAATATATAACGTTGAAAAGTTGATTATTCGAGGGTGCTCTGCCACGCTTGACTGAATCAGTATCATTTGGTTTGATCCACAGAAAATTTCTTTTAGCAAAGTCATTCTTTCACAGATCACGTCTCTTTATACTTCCTAGCATGAAAAGCCATGTATCCATTGCTTTGAAAAATGATGTCTATTGTTTCTGTTTTATAATAAAAGCATGTGTATGCTTATGTATGTATACTTCTACATCCATGTATAGCAAAACAAACTTTGTAAATAATTGTGATTTTAGTGTATAGTGAATAAATGTCAAAAAACTTTGTATAATCATTTTGAAGTAGAAAAGGCAGCCGGACGCGGTGGCTCACGCCTGTAATCCCAGCAGTTTGGGAGGCCGAGGAAGGCAGATCTCGACACCATCCTGGCTAACACGGTGAAACCCTGTCTCTATTAAAAATACAAAAAAGAATTAGCCTGTTGTGGTGGCGGGCGCCTGTAGTCCCAGCTACTCGGGAGGCTGAGGCGGGAGAATGGCGTGAACCCAGGAGGCGGAGCTTGCAGTGAGCCGAGATCGCGCCACTGCACTCCAGCCTGGGCGACAGAGCGAGACTCCGTCTCAAAAGAAAAAAAAAAAAAAGCCAGGTAGGATGCATCTCTGGACGGGGTTGAATGCTGGTTGAAATCGGGAAGAGGCTGGGAAAGTACCTTTATAAGACACGCCCACCAGCGCCACGACAATTGGCCATGGCCATAGCAACACCAGGAAATTACCGCCCCTTGCAATGGCCACACCCAGAAATTAGCGCCTATTTTCTAGCTGTTTCTGAATAACTTTCCCCTAAATTAGCGTGTCATTAAAAGTGGGTATGACTGCAAAAACTGCTGTTAGGCTGCTACTCTCAGCGCACTGCCTGTGAGGTAGCCCTGCTCTGCAGGAGCAGTCATGGAGCTATAACGCTGTCATCCCCTCAGTAAAGCTGTTTTCTTTTATCCCTGGTTCCCTGTTGAATCCCTTCCCAGTGAAGCCAAGACCTGCCCTGAATCAGCTTCATTTGATTCATACGACAGTCCCAAAACGTGGATATTAGTAACCTCCTGCTACCAATGAGAAACTGATACTCAGAGAAGATAGGCAGTTCCTCCAAGTCCTTCAACCAGGACACAGGCAAACCACCGTTCCAAGCCAGCTACGGCTGGCTTTGCAGCATGTGGCTTTTCCATTAGGCTTCACAAATAAATTCAATAACGCTCAATTGGACTAGGGATACTAATTCATCTCACTAAAGGTAAATTAGAAGAAACGGAACCCTTACAGTGGACCCTAAAACTCATGAAAGCACACCTGCTTGGATAATGTTCAACCACCCACCTCAAACTACCTGCAACGTACCTCTGAAGAACCAGGATGCTCCAAGCAAACAATTTTCGAACCAGTATTCTAGAGCTCAAAAGAGAAGCTAAGATGAATGATCTTATCTTTGGAAGTAAAAAAAATAAGCTCTTCACCTGTTAGAACTTTAAAAACTATAGTTATAAAGACTTTAAAATACAGAAAAAAACTCATTTAATAGAAAACATTAGGATTCCAACTTACATGTATTCAATGATTAAAAAAATACAAACTCATAGAAGAGGGAAAAAAAGGTAAAACTCAAAGTGCCAGTGTTTATGTTTCAAAAACTAGAGTAGTGTTAGTATCTATTAGGTTCCAGCCTCTCTTTACACTTTAAACTGACTTACATCTCATAGGAGTGCTCAGAAATTGGTGCTATGTTGTTCATTTTGCAGATCCAGAATTTAGGACGAGGCTAGTTATTTGTACAAATATTACACAATGTAACAGAACTAGGGCATAAATCCAATTCTGCCACCCAAAAGTCTATGCTCAAAATAACTTGAATTGTGGGCAATTGTCTTTCCCTTCACTATTGTCTTGTATTTAAAGAGGATTATATTATATTTCTAATAAAAATGACTTATAACAATGGGTGTATTTTAGATAAAATAAAAAAGAAACTCTGCATCCCATAACTGACTTGCAATAGTGAATTACTTAGGTTCTACATGAAATGCAAAACAGAAGAGCATACATTCATCCATTGAATTTGTTTCATGGAGAACTTTTAGTCCAGTTAATTCTGACAAAAAGTAGAATTGAAAAGAAACACCCGTTCACAGGTTGGCTAATAAGAAAACCATTTTTTACAAGTGCTAATTAATTAATGCAAGGTACTTAGTGCCTAGCACGTCATAAGTGCTTATAAGTGTACTTTGCTATGACTGATTACAATTATATAATGGGAGCTCAATCAGTGGTTCTTGTTTTGAGGATGACTTTTCTGTGGTTGAACAGTTGTTGCCTATTTCTTCCCATCTGAAGAAACCATCTGTGTCCTAAATAAAACAATGATCCTTTAACAGATCCTAAATAGTTTTAAGCTCAAGCGATAAACTCATGGGAAAATTATACGTCCAAAAGTTTAATTTGTATTCTATAGACAAAATGACTGATTGGCAGAATATTTTGCAGAACTTTGGCAAGTAGCAAATTCTTTGAAAAGAATTTCAAGATGGCTATGCCATCACATGGTTCTTAAAATACAAATGCACACAAGTGGGTCTTTCTTCTGGTAAAAGCCACACATAAGAAATAGACATATGATAATATGCTTGGAATGTGACCTTACAGTAAAAATGCCTTCTTTTTATCACCAGTTTGTAATTTTGAAAACAAAATGCACCATTTCACAACAGGAAAGCACTGGGGATGATGAGGAGCATAAAATATGTTCAAACAAATTAAGCTTGTTTAATATGTTTTGACTCTTCCATTTTTGTTTTCTCCTCTTGAACTACATGCTTTTTGTTTGTAGCTGTTGCACAGGAAAAAACGAGTGCCTTATATGCGTGAGAGATCTGTCATATGATTACCTGGAGGAAATTAAAATGATGCACAATGTAATAAGGCAAATGGAATGTTGAGCGATTATTCAGGAAATCTGACTGGCCAACGTACAGGGTAGTAATTCCTTAGACATTCCATTCTCAGAGAGATCTTGTACTTCCCACAGAGATGTGAAAAAATCCCCTTGCCTATAGAACCGCCATGGGAAGTCAATGCAAATCAGTGTATTTCCTCTTGTTCTGCGTAAAGGAACCTGAAGGGCAAAGAACATGTGTCACAAAAGCACCGTGGGAGCCTATCATTATTACTACTAACAAGAATAAATGGAACCTTTGCATACATAAACAAATCGTAAGAGGTATATATTTTTCCTTAGCTTTTAAAATCAATGGTATCAGGGCATTTTCTTGGGATTAATCTACTGGGGTTTTTTGCTACTTTGAAATGAACAAAGTTGAGTCAGTCATTAATCCCCAAGAAATTCTGTGCCTCTCTGTCACCGGACTGACATGTGGATTGTTGCTCCCCTTTGGACTCAAACGAGGTGCTCCAAAAACTCTAGCCTGATCACAGAATTAAAAAACAAAACAAAATAAAAAAAAACAGCAAAGGTACTCCCCAGCTTCTGGGGTTATTTCTTGGAGTTCAGAACGTAAATAAAATTTACTAAGTATGATTTTGTATTAAGAACCTTTCAGGGCTTCTAGTAGCTGCAATTCTAACATTTTGTGAAGAGTAGATTTGCAGCTGCCAACCTGCCCAGGCACCTTTTGCTTCAGTAGGCAGTAGAATAATTCCCAGAGGATCAAAAGCAAACACATTATGTGGCTTTTTGCCGAATGTGTATTCACTGCCAGGCATCAACCCTCACCTGGGGGAAAAAAGAAATCTCTATTATGGAAGAATATATCACCAGTAGCAACTGTTCTCACAGAGGTGGACATACACGGGTGTGAGTATTGACTCATCAGAATACAGGTGTGGTGGGAGAACAATTATAATTCAGGTAATAGCTAAACATGAATTTTAATGAGGATATTCAATAGTCATTAAATATGGCACTAGACATGGGGATTAAAGGTTGGTGTTTCTATGTGAACATTGCATGAGTTATTTTAGTTCTAATTATTAGAAGAATAACTAGAATTAATAGATATGTCTGTACTAGTAAAATTATTTAGTTTTTTTGATAATTCTTTGAATCCATTTGTCAGAGGTGTCTGAACCAAAGCAACTCCATCTTGAATAGGGGCTAGGTAAAATGAGCCTGAGACCTACTGGGCTTCAATCTCAGATGGTTAAGGTATTCTAAGTCACAGGATGAGATAGGAGGTCGGCACAAGATACAGGTTATAAAGACCTTGCTGATAAAACAGGTTTGCAGTAAAGGAGCCAGCCGAATCCCACCAAAACCAAGATGGCGATGAGAGTGACCTCTGGTCGTCTTCACTGCTACACTCCCACCAGCCCCATGACAGTTTACAAATGCCATAGCTGCATCAGGAAGTTACCCTATATGGTCTAAAAAGGGGAGGCATGAATAATTCACCCCTTGTTTAACATTTAATCAAGAAATAACCATAAAAGTGGGCAACTAGCAGCAGCACTCGGGGCTGCCCTGCCTATGGAGTAACCATTCTTTCTTCCTTTACTTTCTTAGTACTTGCTTTCACTTTACTGTATGGATTCACCTCGAATTCTTTCTTGTGAAAGATCCAAGAACCCTCTCTTGGGGTCTGGATTGGGACACCTTTCCAGTAACACATTTATTAAAGATTAGCGAATTTGCAGATTCACTAAAAATAGAAAGTACTATTTTTCTGTTACATTGATGCAATAACTAATTTGGTTGTTAAAAGTTTCTAACTATAAAACAGTTTACAAGAAGGAACTCACTGTGGAATCTGTGATTCTCCTCCCCAAACCCCACGAACCTTTCTCTCATGAGAGTTTTTTCTTTTGAACTAAAGTGCCCAGACACAAGTCCCCGCAAGAGGTCAAACGCTAATAATGAGAATAGATGCAAAAGCTGAGGTCATAGACCGATTATTTTTTACATACCATTACTAAAAATGCCAGTTTTGAAAGGGTTTCACCTGTTGTTTTCTTTATTGTTCAGGGTACACCTACCAAAGGCAGGAAAATCTAAAAACTCTTGTGTTTCCTCAAAGACAATGTGGCAAAAAAGAAAGGAGATTTTCTTTTTTTCTTGTTTCTTTTCTTTTCTTTTTTTTCTTTTTGAGACGGAGCTTTGCTCTTGTTACCCAGGCTGGAGTGCAATGGTGTGATTTTGGCTCAGCGCAATCTCCTCCTTCCAGGTTTAAGCAATTCTCCTGACTCAGCCTCCTGAGTAGCTGGGATTAAAAGCATGTGCCATTACACCTGGCTAATTTTTTTTTTTTTTTTTTTTTTGTATTTTTAGTAGAGACAGGGTTTCTCCATGTTGGTCAGGCTGGTCTCAAACTCCCGACCTCAGGTGATCTGCCTGCCTTGGCCTCCCAAAGTGCTGGGATTACAGGCGTGAGCCACTGCGCCCGCCCAGCCAGAAAGTAGATTTTCTGTGAAAGTAATTCACCTACCCCACAATCTATTTCCTACCTGTAAGATCTCTCTTGATTTTAGTTATGTGCTCTAAAAACTTACTGATAGCACTAGCTTGGACTTTTTTGGCATTTTGTAGTTTTCAAACACTTTCTTATGTAATCTCAAATATCCTCATCCCCATTTTTCTGATGAGGAAACTATAATGAGGGAAAACTAGAAAACTCCCTAACATCTAAAAAAGTGAAAGGTGATTAATTAGATGTACAGCATACGTCAGGTGAAAATTTTTCCCGTAATTTTCTCATTAGACCAGGCTCCTTCTCTCACCTTTGGGAAGATAGTAGTGCAGGACCCAGGCTTTTACAAACTTTCCTCCTACTCCAAATCTTGTGATGGAGATGGAAAAGGGGAACAGATTCATTAAAGGTTGAGGAAAAGAAAAATTGTTCAATGTTTTACACATTTTCAAAAACAATTAGAAGCAGACAATTGGGAGGGTTATGTGAGACAAAAAGAATAGATTTAAATTGACCTACAACTTGAAAAGAACTTAACAATTGCTCTAAGACCATAGTTATGACTAAAAGAACTTGAATATATACTTCCCCTGTTTTTTTTTTTCCTTATTTTCCCCTTGTATTAATCAATGACATCAACAACCACCTGATTCTCAGGATAGAGATATTCATATTTTCTTCAATGATTTCCTCTTCTACTGCTCCTGTTTATTGTACTCAGTCAGTTACCATGTGTCTTAATCCATTCAGACTGCTATAAAAAATACCATAGACTGAGTGGCTTATAAACCACAGAAATTCATTGCTCACAGTTCTAGAGGCTGGGAAGTCCAAGATCAAGGAACTGGCAGATTCCGTGTCTGGTGAGGGTCTGTTTCCTAGATCATAGGTGCTACCTTCTTGCTGTGCCCTCACACTGTGGAAGAAGGAAGGCAGATCTCCAGGGTCTCTTTATTAAGGGCACTAATCCCATTCAAGAGGGCTCCACCCCCATGACCTAATCACCTCTTAATGACCGCACCTCCTAATAGACTTGCACTGGGGATTAGCAACACAGGAATTTTGGGATAACAAAAATATTCAGGCTGTAGCACGAGGCTTTGCTATTTCTTGTCACTTATCCCTCTGACTTTGAAGACTCATTAGTAATATCCAGGATTAATCCTTCAGTATTTCCCATCTGAACAATTGAGGTAAGCCTCCTGTGCATTCTATGCTTCAAGCCTGCCACCAGTCACTTTCCTAAAGTCCAGATCAAACCATGACGTGATGTGGGAACTATCATGGCATGGTTTGACCTAGGGCAGTGGTTTCCAAATGACAGTGCATCAGAAGCTACAGGAGATCTCGTTAACACAGATTTCTTGGCCCAACCCCCAGAGTTTCTGATTTAATTGGCCTGAGTGGGAGCCTAAGAACTTGCATTTCTAACAAGTTCTCAAGTGATGCTAATGGTACTGGTCCCAAGACCACACCAGGAGAACTATTTACCTTGAAAACTACATCCTAATCCCTAACCCCAATTGACATTTTAAGCCTCAGCCCTCACTAAGTCAATTCATAATTAATATAATGGAGCCTAGTAGGGTACTTTCCATTTGTGTGATACGTCATACAGTTTAACACAGTAATATCGCTTATTTAGATAGCCCCAGGGTCAGATGTCTGGGATTCTAGAGCTGCCTCTAGCCTCTAACAGCAGCATGACCTTGAGTGGTTTATTCATTAGTTTTCATCTGAGCTTTCTCAACTGCACAAAAGAGATAATAGTACAGACCGAGCTAAAATGAGAATCAGTACTCAGTGCCTTGTAAGCATTCAATTAGCGTTGGCTGCTGTTATTATTTATATTTGAGATGCCTTTTAGATGCCAAGCCTTGAGCCATTTTCCTTCAGATGTTTTAGTTCTAATTCTTACCATACTTCTGTAATGTAGGTGTTGCTTCCCCCATTTTAATAGGGAAAGCTCCCAGAAGTTAAAATTATATCTCATTTATCTGATTCTAAAGATGTGTCTTTTTCATGAATCTTTTTGACCATTTTCTATCTTTGATCTTGGCATTCCCCATTTTTCATTCCTCATAATTCTGTACATCACAAGATCAATCAAGTAGAGTTCTTCAATTTGGGCATCCCTGAATAGTGCTTTGCTGCACTTCTGCTATAGCATGCCTTCATTCTGTCTCGGTGCCCTGTCTAGCCAAACCAGTATATAAGAAACTTTCTGGCAGCTTCGTTTCCTGGGAAACCTTCACCTCTTACAGTGATGAAATGAGGACTCTGCTTAGCATCAGTTCTCAAATGCCTGATGAATTTGAAAACCAAATTATAACAAAAATATAAATTAAAATTAAGCTTTATATGGACTCTCCGTTCACAGTTTTGATTCTAATAACCTGAGATGAAATTAACAGTGAAATTTTTTAAATGGCTAAATTCTGCTAAGTTATTTAACTTGGACACATCTAGTAGAATTCAGCCAATTCAAAATCAGCCATCGTGTCATTGGGGGTTTATATATCCCTTCCTCAATCTCTGCGTATGGCTAGTTAAAGTGAAAGCAAAGTGAAGTTAATCCCCAAAACAGCAATCTCTATTTCTATTCTAGATATCAAACATGAATACATATGTAAAAGTAAAAATTATTGCCCATAATTTTTTGCATGTATCTGTTGAAAGTGTTTGTTGGACAGTTGTAAGCATTTCTCTTGTTTTTAAGTAGCAATAGATACATAATTTCTTCATATTTACTGTTTTAGGATACATGCTTTAAACACAAAATTTTTGATTTTTAAAATTTTCAAGTTATTATATCTAAAGAACTAGTTCAGAATTCACATCTCTCAAAACATATATATATAATCTGTGTATATATTAAATATATATCTGTATATATGTATAATATATATCTGTATATATGTATAATATATATCTGTATATATGTGTAATATATATCTGTATATATGTATAATATATATCTGAATATATGTATTATATATCTATATATGGATAATATATATCTGCATAATACATAGCTGCATAATATATGTATATATATATATATATATATATATATAGTATACCTCTGCTTTTCTATCCTAAACTCTAATTTGAGTCTTTGCAGAAACTCAGATGTCTTTACCATGGGATTTATTTCTCGTTTTTAAGATGTACAATATAAACGTTGTCTAGGATTTTGTTTTCTTAAGTTTTTGCTTACTTTCCACTGACTAAATTATCAGTCGATATTTTCTACATCCTTAATAGTAAGGAGTTCCTATGATAAAGTCAATAAATAGCACACCCAGAACTTTTGCATTATGAAAAAAATAATATATAGGATCTTGTATCCCAATTAGGTGGAACAAATATGTTGCAATTTGTAATTATTATAGCTATTACCGTTCTTTTTAATGAATCCATTCTCGAATTAAAGTTCTCTTTGGTTTATTCACAGTATTGTAAGGACTGTTATAAAAAATGAGCAAGGCTTTCAACATTTATAATAAAAACTGAATGACTAAACAGACCTACATTTTTTTATTTGCATTAATGAGTTCATCCCCAAATATATATGCAATAATATATAAAATTAAGTTATAAATGTAGGGATGTGCTCCAAGTCACCAAGAAAATCTGCATGCAAATGCATAATAATCACAAATCTACAATATTACAATATTAAAAAATACCCACAATTAAATTATCATGTGGAAATAATCATAATGTTATTGGAAACTCAATTATTGTGGCAACCCTTGTCGGGGAATTAGCAGAGTATGGCAAAGGCAAGTCAGACCTGAATTCATCAAATATATATTATCACAATATTACATGTTCACTTCGATTCCATGCAAAGACAAACATCCTCTCTCACTAGTATCTGCTCAATGCATTTGTATTATTCATGAACAACTCTGTGATCTATTATACATACAAAACTGATTGTACGCTTCTTGCCGCAGGCTACAATGCAGAGACACAGAATTAATTTTATTATATACACATGCATGATAATTGTGAAGGATTTGGTCAAATACCAAACTCTGCTCCTGTGCTCCATTATTCCACTTTCCAAAAAACAAAATAAATAAATAAATAAAGGTCTAAGGTCAGCAGCAATTTCTCTTCATGGCAGTGAAACTCTTTGTCATTTACAGTAGAAAGTTCCTGGATATCAATGAGCCCTGAATTGTGAAGAATCGTCCACACTCCTTTCTACCAAAGCAAGCAAATAAGTTCATTATCGATACCATAAAACTTGAGTCCAAGTGACATAACTATTAGGAATATTTGGGAATTGCTGGTTGTAGTTACCTTGTGTCTGGGCAGTTCTCCTGCAGGGGTGACTGGGTGAGATTTTAAGATCCTTACCAATGTATAGCAGGGATTTAAAGGTAACATCAATTTGCAACTGCAAGGGTGGTTCATCCTTCCCTTTTTGACCACTTCCTCCCTTGTGCTAACATGAAATATTTCTGTTTCCTTTCCTAAATCGTAAATTCCATGAAGTCCTTGTTTACTTTTGATTTTTTTCATCTTTCTGTCCCTAATGCCTTGCAGAGTGCTATGGACATAGAGGAAAATAAATATGTATTTCGTAAGTTCAACATATTCCAGTACTGCTGTCCATCATAATCTTATTTTTTGAATGGTCTCTGCTGGCACTGTCCAACAGAAACATAATGCAAGCCACAAGTGAAATTTTAAATTTTCTGGTGCCTAGGCTAAAAAGAAAAGGTAAAAAAAAAAAAAGAAAAAAAGGTAATGTTAATCTCTTTTTTTTTTCTGAGATGGAGTCTTGCTCTATCGCCCAGGCTGAAGTGATCTCGGCTCACTGCAGCCTCTGCCTTCCTGGTTCTGGCAATTCTCCTGCCTCAGCCTCCTGGGTAGCTGGAATTACAGGCCTGTGCTACCACGCCAGCTGTTTTTTGTATTTTTAGTAGAGACAGGGTTTCACCATGTTGGCCAGGCTGGTCTCAAACTCCTGACCTCAGGTGATCCACCCACCTTGGCCTCCCAAAGTGCTGGGATGACAGGTCTGAGCCACAGCACCCGGCCGGTAATGTTAATCTTAATGATATTTTATTTAATCCATTATATTCAAATTATTACCCATTCAATACATATTCAATATGAAAAATTATGAGTGACATAATTTACTTTGAAATTTGCTGTGTATTTTATGTGGATTAATACAAGCATATATCAACTAAGACTAGTCACATTTAATTGTTTGGTATCCACATGTGGCTAGTGGCTACCATATTGGACTATGCAAGCCTATTATCTGGTTAATGCACTGAAGCTAACCAGTTAAGCCAGTTTATGTGTGTGTATTCAAGATGAGCTGATTAGCTACTGCTTTCACTTTTCAGCTGAATTTCTACACGTCATATAAGTATAGCCTCAGGTTCAGATAACTTTTTTCTTTAATTAGAGCAAATAAAAATAAGAACTCACTTTTAACTGTTTGAAAAGGTATTACTTTGTTTTTGTTATAGGTGATTCTTCTAGAAATGGTGGATGAGAATGCCAGTCTTACACACACTAGACCCCACTTACATTATTTGAGTAAAAGGTGTATATGAAACAAATTGTATCAGAGCAAGTGAACCTAATTTGCAGTCAGACAAATCTAGAGCTACATGACATCTCTGCCTATTGGGCCATTTATTATATATTTCTGAGCCCCAAGATCTTAATCTATCGAATGTAATAATATCTAGTTATTGGGCATGTTGTGAGAATTAAATGAGATACAATATGCTTAGTACAATATCCGCCATGTGTCAGGCACTCAATAAATGTTAACTATTATTATTTTTTCATCATTGTTTTTATGATTACTTAAAACTCCCGTTCGAATCACCTAACTCTTTCCATGTAGGTCTTCATAAAAATTAGAATTTAAAAACCAGTCCTTCTGGTTCCCAACTGGAGAGATGAACTATGGCAAACTGAGTAAACTCCATGTGGAAAATCGTCCAAGCACCACGTGCAGACTCTCACTTAAATGATTTTTTTATGCTGAAGATGTTTCCCTCTCTAAGTACAGACTGGGCAATGCAATCAATATTTTTTAGGGGATCCTTTTCAGTATTTTTATTGATCAGGACCACGATAAAGAAAGATCTGTTTGAGGCTAAAGAATAGAAAGTCCTCTGCTTCACTGAAGTTTCTTTGATAACATAGAAAGGCTTTGGACAACAGTTTAGGAGCATTCCATTTAAAACGCGCATGTCCTGTTTTCCTGTCATATTGAAGTTACCATATACATTCAAGTATTCCTTTTTGTTTTAGTGCAGAAGCACAATGAACATGCTCTGCACATTTCTAATGCAGTGACAATGGGTATGTTTTCTGCTTCTTCACCTAGTGTCACATATAGAGAATAGATAGGTATTGACT
The DNA here is from genome assembly GCF_000001405.40 of Homo sapiens. Classification (NCBI taxonomy): domain Eukaryota; kingdom Metazoa; phylum Chordata; class Mammalia; order Primates; family Hominidae; genus Homo; species Homo sapiens. The sequence goes on from NC_000006.12 coordinate 9,512,446, forward strand.
GACTTTAGAAATCTAGTTTTCAGTTTTCCTAGCACCATTTATTAAATAGGAAATCCTTTCCCCATTTCTTGTTTTTGTCAGGTTTGTCAAAGATCAGATAGTTGTAGATATGTGGCATTATTTCTGAGGGCTCTGTTCTGTTCCATTGGTCTATATCTCTGTTTTGGTACCAGTACCATGCTGTTTTGGTTACTGTAGGCTTGTAGTATAGTTTGAAGTCAGGTAGCATGATGCCTCCAGCTTTGTTCTTTTGGCTTAGGATTGACTTGGCAAAACTGGATCCCTTCCTTACACCTTATACAAAAATTAATTCAAGATGGATTAAAGACTTAAATGCTAGATCTAAAACCATAAAAACCCTAGAAGAAAACCTAGGTAATACCATTCATGACATAGGCATGGGCAAGGACTTCATGTCTAAAACACCAAAAGCAATGGCAACAAAAGCCAAAATTGACAAACGGGATCTAATTAAACTAGGGAGCTTCTTCACCACAAAAGAGACTACCATCAGAGTGAACAGGCAACCTACAGAATGGGAGAAAATTTTTGCAATCTACTCACCTGACAAAGGGCTAATATCCAGAATCTACAAAGAACTCAAACAAATTTACAAGAAAAACACGAACAACCCCATCAACAAGTGGGCGAAGGAGATGAACAGACACTTCTCAAAAGAAGACATTTATGCAGCCAAAAGACACATGAAAAAATGCTCATCATCACTGGCCATCAGAGAAATGCAAATCAAAACCACAATGAGATACCATCTCACACCAGTTAGAATGGCGATCATCAAAAAGTCAGGAAACAACAGGTGCTGGAGAGGATGTGGAGAAATAGGAACACTTTTACACTGTTGGTGGGACTGTAAACTAGTTCAACCATTGTGGAAGTCAGTGTGGCGATTCCTCAGGGATCTAGAACTAGAAATACCATTTGACCCAGCCAACCCATTAGTGGGTATATACCCAAACGATTATAAATCATGCTGCTATAAAGACCCATGCACACGTATGTTTATTGTGGCACTATTCACAATAGCAAACACTTGGAACCAACCCAAATGTCCAACAATGATAGACTGGATTAAGGAAATGTGGCACATATACATCATGGAATACTATGCAGCCATAAAAAAAGGATGAGTTCATGTCCATTGTAGGGACATGGATGAAGCTGGAAACCATCATTCTCAGCAAACTATCACAAGGACAAAAAACCAAACACCGCATGTTCTCACTCATAGTTGGGAACTGAACAATAAGAACACTTGGACACAGGAAGGGGAACATCACACACCAGGGCCTGTTGTGGGGTGGGGGGAGGGGGGAGGGATAGCATTAAGAGATATACCTAATGTAAATGATGAGTTAATGGGTGCAGCACACCAACATGGCATATGTATACATACGTAACAAACCTGCACATTGTGCACATGTACCCTAAAACTTAAAGTATAATTTAAATAAATAAATAAATAAATAAATAAAAAGAAATCTAGCTTTCAAAAGCAGATGACTGCATGAGTATTTCTTGGAAATATTAATAGAGAATTTTGAAATGCCAAAGACATAAAAATGTCTTTAAAATAGTTTGTTCAAATGAGACATCTTTATAACTTATTTCAGCTCCTTTAGAGTGAACCTGACACCATTTCCCCTGTTAAATTTTTGGCTCTTATATTACCGAAGAAAGTGGGCATTTGACAAACAAATGTGCAGGAATAGGGGGTGAGAAGGGCATAAGAGCGTGTTCAAATCTGTTTAAAATTAGACATTCAGTGTTGTAGAGTCAAAACTATGTTCTCCTGTGTTTCTTACATGGGCACATACTTCATGGGTTTAATCATGGTTTGCTGTAGAGCATTTATAACACTTGCTGTGAAGCACTGTTGATACAATGAAGCTTTTTCCAACAAGTAACAGCATGATGGTGGCAAAGGTGAGGCTCTGGGAGGAGATTTTAGTTCATCCTTGGAATTTGTTAGCTCCATAGCTTCCTGACAAGCTTAGTTAGTGCTTCTCTAACTTTCCACAAACTTTGCAGACCCTGCTAATTTATATTTTTTTGTTGTTTTCTTTTAACTGGTTCTCCATATCCATGGAATTTAGCAGTTTGCCTTCCTTCCTTCCTTCCTCTCTTTCTTTCTCTCTTTCTTTCTTTTTTTTTTTTGAGACGGAGTACCACTCAGTTGCCCAGGCTGGAGTGCAGTGGTGCAATCTCAGCTCACTGCAACCTCTGCTTCCTGGGTTTAAACAATTCTCCTGTCTCAGTCTCCCAAGTAGCTGGGATTACAGGCACACGCCACCATGCCCAGATAATTTTTGTAATTTTTTAGTAGTGGCAGGGTTTCACCATGTTGGCCAGGCTGGTCTTGAACCCTGACCTTAAGTGATCTGCCCGCCTGAGCCTCGCATGTACTGGGATTACATGCATGAGCCACTGCGCCTGGCCAAAAAAAAGTTTCTAATAGCTAAACTAAAAAAAGTTTTTAAAAAAAGATACATATCTCTTTCTCATCTATATGATATAGGAGAGATAGATATATATGTATATATGAGATACATATTATATATACACATGTATGTGTGTATAAACATGTATATATACATACATGTATCTCACATATACATATGTATCTCCTACACATATGTATACACATATGTACATATGTGTGTGCATGTATGTGTGTATAAATGAAACTAACAGCGTCTTGCCATATAGCTAGTGGTAATAAAGAAGAAATTTTAAATGCACTTTTATTGTTGGCCTGAGTTTTCTCTTTTTTCCTGGAAATGTAGGCCAGCATTGGCCATATGAAATGAAATGTGAGTCACTAGTTTGAGCTATCCGTGTAATTACACATTTTCTAATAGCTAAACTAAAAATAGTTTTAAAAAATTAAGGTGAAATTAATGTTTCATATCTTTAACTTTTTTTTTCATTTTTTTGAGCCAGGGTCTCATTCTGTCACCCAGGCTGGAGTGCAGTGGCACATTCATGGCTTACTGCAGCCTTGACCTCCCAGTCTCAAGTGATCTTCCCCCCTCAGCCTCACACCTCCTAGTAGCTGGGACTACAGGTGAGCACCACCACACCCGGCTACTTTTTAATCATGGCTTTTATTTAACCATTTATATCTTAAATTTTATCATTGAAAGAGGAAACCAATATAAAAAAAATTAGTAAGATACTTTACACCTCGTTTTGTACTAAGTCTTTGCAATCCTGTGTGTGTTTTTCACTGACAGCACTTCTCACTGAAGAATACTCACATTCAAGCGCTTCTTAGCACACATGCCTGGCTGGTGGCTACCACACTAGACTCGCAGTTCTCACCCAACTCTTTGGCCTTTCTTAGCCTGAACTGCAGAATACTGCTACTAATAAACGAAACAAAGCTTTGCCCCCACAAAGCCCTGCTGCTGAATGCTGACTGACATTTGAACAAAGAAAATGTCCTTATATTTAAGCATCAGAACTATTACTTTTCCAAAACCTCGCAACCCTTGGGTCACTTCAGGCCATTCCTCATGATTTGCATTAGGTGTTCTTCGAGACACAACATTAATCCAGTAATAATTAAAATGATATACTGTACTATTAACATTCTGAAATCTTTAAAGCAAAGTGATCTATGCCTGCAGCGCTGCCCAGGCTGGCTAATTAAACAGCATACAGTTGTAAATGGCTATTGTAAGCAGTTCCCTACTTAAAAATACAGCTCTGAGAAGTGCAGTTTATAGTGACAGGGGCCCTACCAGGATTGATCAGCTTTAAATAGAGGCCGATGCAGCGCACAGCAAATTTTACTTGAGAGGTTGGTATCTTGCTTTGCTGCCAATGTGAGGCTTTGGTTTTAACCCGGGCTCCTGTTGAATGACAGGCCCTGGGCTGTGTAAACTGGACACCCTGTGGGGGCTGAGGTTGCAGGCTGGATCCTCCCCTTGCTCTTTCTCCTGTGAGTCAGCATTCCTGGGAGACGTAGCCAACCATCCCAACGAGAGGAACACTTGCTCCACTCCACCCAGCAACCTCTAATCTGCCGTGATGGGACCTTGAGCCAAGGGATTTGGGTGTGTAAAGGACTTCTGCAGCAAAGAGTACCTCTAGAAATTGCTTTTGTGAGGTTCTTTGAGGTGCTAATCACCTTTTATTTGAATTGCTCTGACTTATCATTTAATAACTCCAGAGGACTTTTTACTTCCTTGGCAGGAGGAGGAAGGTGATTCCTCAGATAAAACCAAAACCTAGAGCTGCACTTCTGAAGGAAATTGCTGCTCAGGTAGGGCTGGATGTGTAGGTGTTCTCCATGGGCCCATGCTGTGCCTGTACCAGCGTCCTGAATTGACGGCAGCAGAGGGGTATCTTTCTTCATTCTTCATCATTTATTACCTGAGGCAGAATGAATACTTGGCTCCATTCGCTCGCTCTCTTTCTTTCTGCAACAATTAGAACTGAATTATTTGCTTCTTGCTTTCCCTTTTCCCACTTGTTCCACCATTCATATCTAAGTGAGTAACTTCTCAAGTTTTTCTACACTAATGTTTCCTGGTTCTGTAAAGCAAGTGATAATTGAGTGGTCTTAATCCCTTGAAATGGAACTGAAAATCTGGAGGTAGCTACATCAGCAAAGAGGGAGTGGCAGCCTTTTTTGTACATTTCACTTCCTTTCAGGACCTCCCAGAGAAGACCTCTGATAAACTTTTTTAGTCCTAGGTAAAGCCTGAAAGTCAACTGAGTACAGCTGCCATTTTTATTTCACCTTCTTCTTTCCACCTGCCAATCACCCAGCAGTGAGCTTTAAGTCATCAGACATCGTTGTGCCTACCTCAAGGGTGTGTACAGTGGTGTATACAGTGCCTGGCACAGAGTTAGACTCAATGAGTGACTGAATGAATGAATGAGCGAGTAAGTGATTAAGTGAGCTCACATTACTATCAACTCAAAGTCACACTTTCTGGTGATCTCTCCTGAGTCTTAAATTTGAATTTTGATATTTCAAATATTATATTTGAAATATAATTTCTATATTTTCAAATATAGAAATTATATATTTCTATATTTTCAAATATAGAAATATATAATTCTATATTTTCAAATATAGAAAAATGCTTTAAAAAAACCCCAAAACTACTAGGTTATAGAAGGTAGGTTGTCCTGTGTTACTACTTCTGCTCTTCCTCAAGGTTCCCAATATTAGAGTCAATAAAAATATGTTTTCTTAGCTCAAGTATTAGGTGGAATTAAGAAAAAAAGTACTGCTATATTAGAAAAGGAATTAGATTTGTGATTCAAAGATAAAATTACTGAAGATGAAATCTGAGTATGTGCTCTAAATAATAATTCCTCTAGGTATCCAGGTATTCCGAAATTCTATTTTTAACATCTGTCTGAATAAGTAGGGGGTTTGAGTTATCCCCATGCTTTTCAATCCATATAATTATAATTTACATTTACCTAGAGTTTCTATTTAATCTGAATAACACATACCCCTCTGCAGAGTATGACTCAGTGAACAATATACTAAACCTTTGGAGTGTTCAAGAGCATATCTTTCTAATGCCTCAACTTGCCCAAAGGAAGCATGAGCTGATCACCAAACAGATGCCCTGCAGTAATTAGATTAACTGGATGAATAACACGGGTTTAAACCCCATCCGTATTTTATAAATACATTCTGGACAATCCCTTTTGATCAGAACAGGTCTAATTGCAATAGCTGAAACTGTCAGAACTGTCAGGAGGCCACTTTCAAATATTGGAGGATATGGTCAGATCTAAAACTGACATTGTTTGTAGGTTATTCCCCTAGAATAGGTGGCTTTCCCTGCCAGCTACATTGTCTACTTTAGCAAAGAATTGGGAGGTTCTAGTTGGGCTTCAGCCTAATACAGACTGAGATTGTTGTATAAAATGTGACTTATAATAGAAGTAAAGAGGTGAAGATGATTTCACTTATATGTGGAACCAAAAAAAGTTGAACTCATACAAACAGAGTAGAAAAGTGGTTGTCAGAGGGGCTGGGAAGTGGAGGGAATGGGAAGATGTTGGTTAAAGGGTAGAGAATTTCAGTTAAATAGGAAGATTAAGTTCTGGAGATCTATTGTACAGCATGGTGACTACTGTTAATAACAAGGTATTGATACCTGAAAATTGCTGAGACAGTAGATTTTAAATGTTCTCACCAAAAAAAGAAATAAGTATGTGACATCATACTTAACTTTATGAATATGTAAACTTTATTTAATCATTTCAGAGTGTGTGTTTGTGTGTGTATGTGTGCATGTATATATCAAAACCGCCTGTATACCACAAATATATATAACTTTTATTTGATCAATTAAAAAATAAAAATGTAAATAAAAACTGCTGAAGAATAAGGAAACGAAGAAATAACATTTAGGGAGTAGGGTGAAAAAGCATTGAGACATCAATTTTTTCATTAGAATCTTCTCTAGGGTACTTTGAGCATGGCATTAAGTCCATTTTGCAGGACTCATAAGACTGTTTTATATATATAATACCAAAATATCTACATAAAATGGGGTTAAAACAATGTCCAAATATTCAAGCCATAAGCAAGTAGCTTCTATTTTTTGGCATTAGGCAAACTGTTTTTACATAAAATCGATTAGGCAAGTGACCAAATAAATAGATGACTTTTCAAAGTAACTATTTTGACCTAATATAAACATAGGGCCTCCAAAGTGAAGCAGAATATATGCATCACGGGGTTCTATTGTAAGGTATTTCCTGATTGGAGTGATATTTGAAACTATGTAAGTAAAACAGTTCATTGTATTCTAGATATCACCTCCCCTAATTTATAAGTAATAGCATTTATTTAGACTGGTTTTAAACTGTTATTCTTCTTTTTTATGCAATTAGTTTTTACACAGGACATAAATAAAATTAGCATCTATACCATTAGGTATCTTAAGGAAAATGCTGAACTGCAATTTTCTTTGTTTCTTGGATGAAACAAAAATCTATATATATATATACACACACACACACACACATATATACATATATACACACACATATACATATATATATACTGTGATTAGTATAATTAGTTGTGTGCACTGTCACACGAATGTGGAAATTTTCTTACAATTATTTAATTATCTACATTTCTGATGATATTCATTGATCTACCTGTATCGACTCTTACTTCAATCTATTCTCTTTTAAATATCATCAAGTATATGACATTCAGATTATGCTAACTTTACTAACTCTAAGTTCTTACAAAGATGATTAATTTCTTCTGCATGAAAATTTTAGCCTCTAAACATCGACTAAACCCATTTGGACATATATTTCCAATGATGACTAAATGCACTGATATATTTTATCTAAACAGAAATTCAAAATAACTTCTATATCCCATAGCCCTTACCATCAGTCTTAGTAAAAACAGATCAATAGAAAACAGTATAGCAGAACAGCAAACATAAATACTGAAACCTTATTTGTAGATCTTTGCTATAAATGTAACACCCACCACACACAGGGAGAGATACTGGAAATAGCTTTCTTCTGTAATAAGTACACTGCTCCTTGGGAGAAAGGTAAACTGCATTATGAGATTAAGATCAACACAATGAAGTTACTTTCTAAGGGTCTCATACACCCAAGTTTATGTTGAGGAGGAAAATGTCCTTTTGGTAATTGAACTAAAAATCTAATGGACATGATGGATGCTTGATTGTGTCCAAATGGCATGAAAGCATCCTAGGAATTCCATACAGAATTCAGTTAACTATTTTATGAAAGTGGGAGAAAAAATCGAAATAAAAATTGAATTTCAAAAAATTGAAATTGAAATGTGAAGTGAATTGATCAGCTACTGTTTTAGTCTGTTTTGCATTGCTATAAAGGAATCCCTGAGACTGAGTAATTTATAAAGAAAAGAGGTTTATTTGGCTGACAGTTCTGCAGACCATACAAGCATGGCACCAGCATCTGCTTGGCTTCTGATGAGGCTTAAGTAACTTACAATCATGGTGGAAGGCAAAGGGGGAGCCAGCATATCACATGACGAGAGAGGAAGCAAAAGGGAGATGACAGGCTGTTTAAAGAACCAGCTCTCCCGTGAACAAACAGAGCGAGAACTCACTTATTACTGCGGGGACAGCACCAAGCCATTCATGAGGGATCCTCCCCCATGAACCAAACACCTCCCACAAGGACTGCCTCCAACATTGGTCACATTTCAATGTGAGATTTGGAGGGGACAAATATCCAAACCATATCAGCTGTTTTGGAAACATGTAGCTCAGAACATTATGGTGATTGGATTTTAACATTTCGGCTCAAATATAAAACATGGGCTAATATGAAATCCAGGCATATCACCATATAAACAGAAGTCTCATCTTGATTTCAAAGATTTTTTTCCTGCATTAGTAGCCCATTATTGTTCTGTATGTGTCTCAACCGTTTGTCTTAATGTGTCAAATTTACAACGTTGCTAAGAATATGAGTCACATCCTTAAATACCACATATTCATGAAAAAATCCTCGGAAAGTGAGTCATTCAATGAACTATTGGGGGAAATTTTTAAACTTAATAAAGAATACCTTTTTAACAGGATAACTTGTTTCTCTTCTGACTGCCATGATTCTGTCTCACAGACTTCCACAGAAAATATCAAAGATTTTAGCTGAATAAATAAACAAAAGACCAGGCAGATAAACTGACTTCTCAGGCCCAAGGTAGTGACCTGTGTGACAATTTGGTCTTGGAGGCCTGATGTGAAAACCTCTTGCAGCCTCTGGGTAACGATGATTTGATTCCTATCTCCCCCATAGCCATTCTCAGCCTCTCACCTTGTGGGCTTTCCCTATGCACTGCACATAATCGGCAAATCAGTGGGGTTTTCCATTTCTGTCTCTTCTTCATAATTTGTTTTTCCCCTTTACTAATCTATTCAGTTCTCCAGCCCACTCACGTGATTTTGCATGATAAAGTTACAACAGGAAGACTATTAAAATAGCAGCAAATACTTTCTTTAAGCCAGGTGTATGTCATCTTTTGACACATATTGTCTCTCTTGATTATCACAACAACCATCCCAGGTAACTATTATTATTATATTATTAATCCCATTTTACATGTATAAATGTTACACCAAAGAAACATAACTTGCAGGATAATCAAAGAAGGATTTTATTTTGATCTTTCATGTGTATTATATGGGGCTTGTTTTTCCCCTATGCTTGGATGCAATTTTTGACAAGTCCTCTGGTTTTTCTGCTTACAGGCAAATAATGAAATCAGTTTCTGTTCAGTGATTAAAAAGATCATCTCCACATAGTGGTACCATCCTCAAATTTAATAAGTAAGGGCTTCTTGCCATTGTCCAGCCCAGGCCTGTGTAGTAAGAGGGCTGGTTACTCTCCCCTCCCCTGCCTTATACATTACCTCCTCTTCTCCATCCCACCGAGCTTGGTTTCGGACCCTCCAGAATGGGAGAGAGGGAGAAGTTTGGGCAGAAGGGAGAAGAGCAAAACGTCTTATTAGATTAATATTGTTGGGAAATTGCATTGGTTCTTGAACTTGGCAGATATTTTATGTGACTCTTTTGTGGGTCATTTCTAGTGCCTCCTCTTACATTGTTAAGGATTCGTCTTCAGCAATTACTTTAATTTATGCAAATACAACTCTTCCTGTAGGTCACATGGTCACAGTGTCCCTAACGGTCTAGATCAGTGGCCTTGCCTGTGTACACAGCCCTGTAGAATCTCAGGCCTACCGTCATCATAATATTTATTACACAACATTTGAATTTACACAACATTTGAACATTTGAAAATGTTCTTTGTTCATTAGAAAGCTCTCTCCAACACAATCTAAGATAATCTCAGCCCAGCTCTTTCATGCATGCAGCCACATCTGGGACAAGGAGTAGAATTCACAGGACCCAAGGCACAATCCAAAAATTATCTTCAGCCTTTTTTTTTTTTTCAGTGTCAGAGCTAGATGGTCAGAAAAGTGCTGCAAAACTGGTTTTCCCACGTTTTTTGCTTTGGTATGTGCCATTTATTGACTGGAAACACCACTAAAATTGTTCTTCGTTAACATTCTATTATTGTTGAAAACATCATGCAAAAGGTAATAAAGATTAAGTAGTTTTAAAAGTGACAATACATTTTCTAGCTTTTGTCTGATCAAAGAGAACTGTCGTTTTGAAAGAGGATTCACTGCTGCAAAATTATCAGTGTTTTGCCACTATCGTTTTTCTAGTTCAAGACAAAACAAAAACCTTCTAACAGGTTATATCTTTAAAGCATTGGAAAGATGACATTTCATATCAGTAACAAACTGGACTAAACAGTAGTCAGTACTGGCATTCATGAAAGAAAAAGACATAGCCTATTGGAGGTAAAGCTGCACTATCATTCACAATGGATAAGAGTCCCCAACAGCTCGGTCAACTATAATCCCAAATATAATTTTTTCTTGCAAATACTTTTATAAACACTTGGAACACATTAGTACATTTCTTAGAACACAACTGAAAAAAAAAGACAAAACTCTGATTGGTTTCTAACATCCTGGAAAAATATAAGAATTGCTTTGTTAATGTTGAATTTGTGTCACAAGAGAGGTTCAATATTCTGAGCCTGGGCAAATGATCTACACATGTGAGTGTATGTGAGTGTGTGTGTGTGTTGTGTTGGGTGTGCATATCTACTTGTGATATGAAAACTGGCAACATACCCACCAGCAATTTGTGTCAATCTAAAAATGAAGAACAGAATAAAAGTGTAGACAAGAGAAACATGACTATCTAGAAATCAGGTGGGCAGATCAAGCTTCAAATGCCTTCCTTGCTTCAAACATATGCACGTGGCAGATAAAAAGTAAAAAACGAGAAAAACTAAGAGGACATAGCCAGAATCAAAAATACAGTAAACATCTCTGTTGCCAGAAAGAGAGCAGAAACATAAAATGGTGAGGGGCAAGAAATGAAAAGTTGAATGCAGGTCGTGGCGACTGAGTTTGTCTGAAGGAAAATGGAGATTAAACTTCAAATAGAATTGAAAAGAAGAAGAAAAAAGCCTCCTCACAATTTGAAACCTGAAAGTAAGACAAAAAGTCATCACTAATCTCTGTCTGCAGCCATGACTCTTGGAACATAACACATCAAGAAACCAAGTGCAGATTTTCAACCAGGAGCTAAGTCAGCTGCCCTCTGAGCTCATTCCTGAGATATGTGATATCCCCAGCCTGGCTTTGAGTCAGGAAAGCTGCTTCTATGACTTGACCTGATTCTGGATTAGGCTATACATATAAACAGAAAATCATTGGACAGGGAGGGCTTAGCACAGAGATGGGGAGTAAAGGCTTTGGGATGGTTCCACTCATTGCCAGCATATAAACCAAATTTCTAAGGCATGTGAATAAGAAAGTGAATAAAGTAAGTTAAAACCACTTGGAATAAAAATGTGTTATAGGTTAAATGAATTGTATAGATGAGTCTGACCAGGCTTTTGAGATATGTATTAAACGTTCAAAAGGAAAACATGAATTCTACTTATTTTTTAAAACTTGTAAAACAAAACCAGTCACAAGTAAATCAAGAACAGGTAAAGATAATAATAATCTGGCATATTTTAGGCCAGATAATTTTCTAAATGTTTTGCATGAATTAGTATGTTACTACAACTGAACGAGGTAGATACTATTATTATCTTCATTTAAAAATGAAAACAACTCACTTTGGGAGGCTGAGGTGGGCGGATCACGAGGTCAGGAGATCGAGACCATCCTGGCTAACACGGTGAAACCCTGTCTCTACTAAAAATACAAAAAATTAGCCAGGCGTGGTGGTGGGCGCCTGTAGTCCCAGCTACTCGGGAGGCTGAGGCAGGAGAATGGCCTGAACCATGGAGAGGGAGCTTGCAGTGAGCCAAGATCGTGTCACTGCACTCCAGCCTGGGCAACAGAGCGAGATTCCATCTCAAAAAAAAAAAGAAAAGAAAAAAGAAAGAAAACAACTGAGGTACAGCGATGAAGTTACTTATCCAAGGTCATACACCTAGAATGTGGAAGAGTAGTCTGGCTCTAGCATTCATAGAATATTATATTCAAACAAGAAAAAAGGCAGGACAGACCATAGTTTATAGACGGCAGAAGTGAGAATTATTGAATTGCAAAAGATTCCAACAAGAACTCAGGACAGAGCTAAATAGACAAAATTTTAAAAAGCAGGAGAAGAGAAAGTAGATCAGTTGAGAGCTTCCAACCTTTGTCTTATAAGAGAACTAGAAGACAGGCCGGGTGGTGTGGCTCACGCCTGTAATCCCAGCACTTTGGGAGGCGGAGGCGGGCGGATAACGAGGTCAGGAGATTGAGACCATCCTGGCTAACACGGTGAAACCCCGTCTCTACTAAAAAAAAAGAAAAAAGAAAAAAATTAGCCTGGAGTAGTGGCAGGTGCCTGTAGTCCCAGCTACTCGGGAGGCTGAGGCAGGAGAATGGCGTGAACCTGGGAGGAGGAGCTTGCAGTGAACAGAGATCGCGCCACTGCAGTCCAGCCTGGGCGACACAGCAAGACTCCGTCTCAAAAAAAAAAAAAAAAAAAAAAAAAACAACTAGAAGAGAGTGCGCGGAATGGTAACGAGGTAATACTTCTAAAAGGAACTGCTGGGTTTTTTTTTTTTTTTTCAGTATTTAAGAAATATATAAGGTCTTCAGAACACAAGGCTACTGTAAGTACCCAACAGAAAATAAATAGCTAAATCTGTATATAGACATGCTGTAGCAAAACTGCAGAACATAAGCAAAAGAAAAACATATTAATATTCTAAAGCAATCAGGGAGAAATTTTACCTACATTAAGAGGACAATGAGAATCAACATCACTCTTGTCAAGCAACAAGAGAAGCTATGCATTAAGCAGTAATACCTTTAAAATTTACAGAAAAAAAAAACAAATAAGCTTTTAACTTTGAAAACTATTTTAAAATCAGACAGATTGCAATTACCAGATGGAAAAAATTGACACTTTAAGATGTTTGCCTAGAGGTCAGATGTGCCAGGCCGGGCCTGAGACGTAAGAACTAGTTTCAGTGGGATTCTACCCAAATTGTACATGGTAGATACCCTGGGATCATTCTTACAATTCACTGTCCTTGAAAGCCCAGAAGTCTACACTGTCACCTGGAATTCACCTGGAGATCTTTCATACAACTCCTTACCCAGTTCTTTAAGTAGTCTTTTACATGTTTTGTCTTCTGATTTGAGTAGATGGAAATCTAACCTCATCTAGGTTGCAGCTAATTTTCTTCATCACTTGAAAGTTTCAGCTTATATTTTTATACACTGATTTCAGAGTTTACGCTCATTTTCTTGTTTTTCTTTCTTCTTTTTAATTGTTTTGTTTCTGTTTCTTAACTTTTCAATGTTGGTTAATTTCTTTATATGTAGGGTCATTTGGGTTATAGTAAGAAATGTTTTTCCTGCAAGGTTGCTAGCTATCCCTTGATAATTTTTTTCACCATTGTGTGATGGAGAAATGTAAGCTCATAATTATTTTCTTGTGGTATGAACACTTATGAGATCTACCCTCTTAAAACATTTGTAAATATGCGATACTTTATCATTGACTCTAGGTACAATGTTGTACAGCAGATCTCTAGAGCTTAGTCATCTTGCTTAACTCAAACTTTAGCTCCATTGATTATTCATTCCCCATCCCCCACATCGTGTCCCAGCCCCTGGCTACCACCATTCAATTTCTTTGATTCTATAAAGTTGACTGTTTTAGATATCCCATATAAGTGGAACCGTTCAGTATTTGTCGTTCTGTGACTGGCTTATTTCAGTTAGCACAGTGTCCTCAAGATTCATCTGTGTGTAGCCTGAGACAGAATTTCCTTCCCTTTTGAGGCTTAATATTATTCCATTGTATGTATACACATTTCCTTTACGCATTCATCTTTTGATGGACATTTAGGCTGTTTCCATGTCTCAGCTATTGTGAATCATGCTGCAATGAATATGAAGAGATTAATATCTATTTGGGATCCTGATTTCTAGCTGTCTGATTTTAAAATGTGTTCTTTTGAACTTAGCTAAATTAATTTACAACTCTGGGAACCTTTAGAATTAAGTACAGAAGTCACAGAGCATGAAAACTCTTATTAATATTTTTATATTCACTTTAAGATAATTTGTGTTTGTTGTTTAAAATGTTTATCATGTCTTTAAAATGTGGCATATGAAGTCTTGTGACTTTAAGGTCTTAGGTGTGGGAAAATTTTGCAAGTTTATAAACACTATTGCAATGCTTTAGCTAATGTGTTTTCTATGTTTATATGTTTAATTTATTCGCTTTTTAAGAGTTACTAAAGTGTTCGGAAAGTTTTGTTGGGTTAAAAATCTTCACTTTTGGACATTTGAAGGCTACAATGTTGAGTATTTTAAACTTATGCATAAAAATGTGATCTTTAAGGCAATTTAAAAATCTGCTTATTAATGAAGCAAATTGTTCAGAGAAATTTAATCTCTTCAAATTGAATTAATCAAATTTTAATCCAAAAACAAGTAAAAGAAAATGTTACTTTTATAAGAAAAATACTTAACTTTAAAATAAAATGGCAAAGTATGTAAGTTAAACTTAAAGGTTTAAATAAACCAGGTTTTGTATAAATGTATAACTTCAATAAATCAAATGTTAGTTTTAGAAAAGAAAGCTATTCAAGATGAACTATCATATAAACATAAGAGCAGCTTTCTTTCTCTTCTTCTTTCTTATCCTTCTTGAAAAAGTCAGTCCTAAAGACATTAGATGGGGCCAAACAACACAGGTATCCATACCACGTGTGGGGTAAGAGACAGAAAAGGAAGTGGGTGCATGGGTATCAGAATCTGAGCAGAATAAGGAAAGTGTGGACATGAGGGTTAGGAGCAGCCCAGGATAAGGTACCAGTATCCTAGCAGGGTGAGCAGACTCAACTGACATGAGATGTCAGAGGCCGAGCAGAGTAAGGAGGTGCCCACGTGGAGAAGTAAGTGGGCTTGGGGCGTCTGTGCCTAGCAAGTTGAGGATGGCATCTGCGTCGGGAGGGGGCAGTGATACCTGTAAGAAATTGATTACATTGGGGGGGATTAAACAAGAAAGTAAATTTATTGATTCTACTGGAAGCCATGTTTCTCACTATTAAAGAGAGTTCTAAATATGGAAAAAGAAGGCAAAGATGAACCTCATGGTTAGGCTTGGAATGGGACCTATACTCATGGCTTTCTAGGTAAACTGGTAAGTAAAGGTATTTTTCAGTTCTCTATGTCATGGTTTGATCAGAGAAACAGAAGTACTAAGAGTCATATGGAATAAAGAATTTATTATAGAGATGATGCAATCATGGGTTCTGGTTATGCAATTTACATATGGCTTCTACTTCTGCCTCTGTTGCTGGGCCAGGAGTCAGCAGCACAGGCAGTCAGGAAAGAAACATGATTGTGAAGTGGGGACAGCAAGGGAAAATTGGAACCCCGGGGTTTGAACCTATGCTGGTGTCCCACTGCTTGCAACGCTGATGAGGAGGTGATTTGTAGGAGAAACTGATGCCCATTGTCACAAAACTAAACATGTACCTGGCACAGTTCCAACAGGAGCTGGAGAAGCTGTGCATTCTCCTGCTGGCTCATGTCAACCAGATGAGAAAGCAAATTTGTGAGAATGTTCACAAGCTACAACAGCACCTGACAGGACACAGACCTTTCAATCATAAACGTGGCTGCTACTTCCCGTTTGCCCTCCAGATCTCACCCAGCTTTCTCTTGTGGCCAATTCTAGCTCAGAATCATACTGGCAAAGGAATCTGGGAATCAAAGTTCAAGCTTAGCTAAGGTGAAACAGTACAAAGCTGCCACAATCATAAAATTTTGAAAAGTCACATTACATGAAGAAATATGACAGATACTACTTTAGCCAAGTGAGCACTGTGATCATCTGTAATGGGATAAATTTAGATTATGTGATGCCTGATAAGATGAAATGAGAATACAGCATCTCTCCCATAATATTTTTGTCAAAGCTTTGTAACCTGAATCTACTCTAGGGTACATCAGACAAACCCAAATTAAGTGACACTCTTCAAAATACCTGATCTATAAGATTAAAAAGTGTGAAAAATATAGAAGTCCAGGAAAGCACCCGGAACTATTCCAAATTGAAGGAGGCTTAAAAGTGTGACAATTGAATGCTATTCATGATTCTGAACTGATTTTTTTCCTATAAGGAACGTTTTTCTGATAATTAGGAAAACTGGAATGGAACGCTGAGGTTTAATGGTAATATATCAGTTTATTTTCTGATTTTGATGATTTACCGTGGTCATGTAGGAAAATGTCTGTTTATAAAAATAAACATTAAAGTGTTGAAGCATCGGGTTGGCTATCTGCTGTCAAATTGTCCAGGAAAACAATCCTTGGCACTATACTTTTGCAACTTTTTAGTAAACTCAGGAGTATTTCTAAGTTAAATTAATAAATGAAAGAAAAAAAAGCAGAGTAGTAATAAACATAGGAAACATTTATTGCATGTTTGCCATATGCCAAACACTGTCCTAAACCCATTTTATGTATTATCTAAATTTCATTTTCCCTTATGACTTAGAAATGATCATTATTACATGCTTACACTAAGATGCAGAATAAGTAACATCCCAGTATCATATAGCTAGTAATTATGGAGACAGATCTGAGCTCAATTTGTCATCACAGACTACTGATAGTTTCCATATAAAATGACTAAGAGGAATTACCACAATCATATTCTTAAAAAAGAATGTGATCGGGATAAAAGGGAATATTTAAGTGTGGGATAAAAGAAACACTGAATACAGAAATGAATAGAATAAATTGATAAATCTACAGAAAATCAATTAAAAATGTTTAAAATAGCAATATTATTTTTGATTTGGAGACTTTTCAACATATGATTAAAGAGTATCAAGGTACTTCTGATTTTAATAACAAAATTAAAAAGCTGAAAACCCAAAGGTTTTATAAAAAATTGATAGTTAAGCATGAATATTAAAATAAGCGAACCCTTAAAATCAAGGAAATACAATCTACAGCTTTGGAAATGGCAAATGAAAAAATAATTAAAAGTTGTTAATTTTAAAAAGGGAAGAGAACGAGCAATGAGAAAAGAAAATGTTAGTGAGCAATTGAATAAATAATGGTAAAAATAAGTCCAGATATGTTTATCATACAATAAAAGTAAATGTGTTAAAGTAATGTATCAAATGACAAAGGCTTGTAATAAATTTTAAATCCTAGCTCACTATGCCTCTTAGGAAAAATATACCCAAAATAAACCTACACAAAGTCTGAAAATAAAAGAATAAAAAGAGAAAAAACAGATAAATTCCAAACAAAATTTCCATATGATATGGAAAAATTATAACAGGACAAAGGAATTTATAGAAAATGAATTGATTGTAATAGAATATAGATAATAATTATAAATAAAGAACTAATCTATCTAAAAATTATAATGGTTATCATCTAGGGATAGTCATAGTCTAGTAACATAAAAGCATAGCTTCAAAATATAAAGCAAAAGTGACAAAATAACTCTCAATCATAGTGAGAAATTTTAACACACATTTCTCAGAAATTACAGTTCAAATACATTAAAAAATTGATAAAAAACAAATTTGAGCAATGTAATCAGTACATTTAATCATATGATATATATAAAACATATAAATATTTATCTTTTTCTAGTACACATAAACCATTTATGAAATTAATCATGTATTAGGACACAGTGGAGTCTCAATACATTTCAAGTAACTATCATACAATATATGATTAATTTTAAACACAAAAGTTTAAAAATAATTTAAATGTCGATGACATTTGAAAACTTTCAAAAGGACTTCTAATCAACTTATGGGTTAATCTCAAGGAAAACAATATATTTTGAACTGAACAAGAGTGAAGGAGAATTATAGCCAAGCTTAGCAATACAGAGAAAGTGCAGTTTAGGGTTTATTGTATACCTTGAACATCTTTATATTTTTTTTAAAGAGACAGACTGAAAATGGGGGAGTGACATATTCAGAAAGCTATGAAATAATGAAAGATGGACCTAAAGCAAGTAGAGAGAATAAAAATTTTTAAGTGCTAATAAAAAATGAAAAACATAAGATCCATAGAAGCAGTTGCCTATATTTTTGAAAAAGAAGTAATAAAGCATACAAATTTCAAGTATGATTAATAAACAAAACAAAAAGGAAAAGTCACAACACAAAAGGCAATTAGTAAGTTAGATTTAGTAGATAGTTTTTAAAAGTATGCCAATAAATATAATAAATTTGATTCCAAATTAGATAAGGAAAAAGAAAAATATATAGGCCATCCCCTTGTGTGAAGATACATGCGGAAATCCTAAATAAATTATTAGGAAATCAAAGTCTTCAGTGGTGGAAAATAGAAATACTGCAACTGAATAAAGTTTATTACAATAGACAAAATGAGGAGAGTGGGAGGAAGGTGAGGTTCGAAAATCTACCTATTGGGTACTACGCTCACTACCTGGGTAACAAAATCATTTGTACACCGAACTTCAGTGACACAAAATTTACCCATGTAACTAAACTGCATTTGTACTCTCGAGTGTAAAATAGAAGTTGAAAAGAAAAAAAAGAAGTTATAATTCCCAAATTAATCTCTAAATTAAACTGAAGTCAATAAAATACCAAAAAGCTGCTGTTTAAAATAAAATGGTGACAGAAGATGAAAATGGCCAAAAAAAAAAAAAAAAAAAAAAAAAAGACACCACTGGAGAATGGCAAGATGGGAGAAATTTGTGAAGACAAGTAAGATATACTTGCAAGTACTATATTATTAGCTCAATTACTAAACAAGGATAGAACAGAAACTATGAAAACAGACACCTGTACATATGTATTTACATATATACATATATGTTTATAGTATATATATGTGTGTGTATATATATTCTATATACATATATATGCATGCATGTATATACACAGTACATACATATATACTATATTTATACATATACATATATAGTATACTGTACACTGCACTTATATACTAAGGTGTACATATATATATATTTATGTGTGTCTCTGCTCTGTTCCAGTGGTTTGTGTATATATGTGTATGTGTGTGTGTATTTATATATAGATGTCTATCTCCCATGACAGAAGTAAAATTATAAATTAATATGGAGATAATGGCTGATGCATTTAATAGTAATGCAAATACTTTTTAATCTGTAGGAAAAAAAATTAGATTTCGAATTCATATCCTGCACAAAAATGTGTGGATTTATAGCTTAAGTACAAAGACAAAGCTTTACATTCCTAGAAGGAAATATAGAAGAATATCTTAATAAATTAAGGGTTAAGGAATAATTTCTTAGGGACCCTAAAATACAGGCCATGAAGAAGAAACCTAGAAAAGTTATTAAATTAAAATTAAGATTTTAAAAATATATAAAATATATACATATATGTTCCATATATGTATTCAAACATCTATACATATAGATAGGGTAAAAATATTAACAAAAAATCTAAGTAAAATGTGCAGATGTGTTCTTTGTACTATTTTTATTCTTAAAACATTTCTGTATGTTTGAGATCATTGTCAAGTAAAAGTATTTTAAAAGACAATATAAGGAGACTAAAAATAGTAGCTACAGACTAAAGAACAAAAACAATCTAGGGCACAAAGAAAAGCTTATCTAGAATATATAAGGAAATATAATAAATCACTAAGAGAAAGAATCCAACATAAAAATGAGCAAAGCATGTGAACAGGCAATTCATAGGACAGAAACACTAAATGATCTTAAACATATGAAAACATGATCAATTCCACTAATCAAAAAGGAGTTGCAAATTAAAGTGAGATACCTTGTGTTTTTATCCAAGTGATAAAAGTTAAATATTTTGAAAAAAGAAAGCTAAGAGTGTTGAAAAAATGGAAGTCTCATGTGCTTCTGGTGGAAGAATAAATTGGTACAACCACATTGGGGAACAATTTGTAGTACGTGTATGTAGGAGTCAAGTCATTATTGACAGCAGAATGTCCCAGACATTGTTGAAAGGGGGAAATACTTCCTTTGAAAATGAAATGCTGCCTATCTGGGTTGACCTGCTGGGGCTAGTTTCAGAGACTGGCTGTTTTCTGCACCCTTTCTTACAAAATAGTCCTAGCAGTACAGATGCTCTCAACAACTGCCTCAGTACTGAAGCTACACATCAGCTAGATCTACATCAGATAATGAGATGGAAGCCAATGACTCAGCAAGCCAGTTGGTTGTTTCCAAATATACACACCTTTGTTTTCCAGAGTAAAGTTTTACACAAAACGATTTCAACACACATGGTGGCAGAATATCAAAACAACTCCGACAGTGACATTTGGCTAAAGTGATGAGAGGTGGGATTTTAATGTGCAAGCTTGATTAAAATAATAAGTTTCATCATTGCTACTTTGTTTTGATAATTTAAGTGCAAGTGAAAAACAGCAGAAGGTATTGTTTCTTTGGAAGGAGCTCTCATGACTCAATGCTTTAAATGCTCTCTGACTCCTTGAAGTTTTCCCTTTGTGACAATTTATCACTCTGTAACAGGCAAAGCATTTTTTGAGTTTTTGCAACAGCCCTCAGACAGAAACTTACCCCTATTCCTGTTAAAAAATGTTTGCTGTTGAATATTGTAATTCTCACGTATATCTTTTTCATGTCCACTAATGCCTGAGTTTGCTTTTAGGTATGCTTCTCCAGGGATAATTTTATTAAAATGAACTTATATGAAGTGTTATGTCATTATTTGCTACTCATTTGAGTCAATCATTCCTTTCAACCACAGATTTTATTGAGTGCCAACAAGGTGACTTGCTGTGACCCCAGTGCTGGATACAATAACAGCCAACATTTATTGAACATTTATTATGTGGCAGGCATTGTTCTGACAGTTTTATGTGAATTACCTCATTCATTCTTTCCAAGAACTCTATGAGGTAGACAGTATTATCCCATTTTACAGGTGAGGAAACAGTTGCAAAGGGAGGTTGAATTATTTGTTCCAGGTCACTCAGCTAGCAAGTAGTAGATCTGAGATTTAAACATGGACAAGCTGGCTTTAGAGAATATACTTCTAGCTAGTAAGTGATTTTGCCTCTTCTAAAAAGTAAATCTATTTTATGTCATCAATATCAAAAAACAAAAGTAGGCATGGTAGATTTTGCACCATAGTACATAATAATTTTAACAAGTGTGCCATTTTCATAGTTACAGTTTAGCAAAATTATTGAACCCATTGCTTCCCTTTAACCTTTTTTGAGTTCAATGTAGAAAAAAGATGGCATTGGAAATTAACGTTTAAAGGTCAGACTTGTGGGTCTTGACAATTACTAAGTTGTGGAGGTTTCAAAATGTGGAGGATGCGGAGTCAAGATATTCTAAGGAAAGAAACTGGCTGAGAGGTTTAGACAGCTGAGCAAATGCATCAGGGAAGCAGGCAGCCTCGAACCAGGCATAGTGAGGTTCTGGCATAGGGTCAAATGTTGAGTTTCAGTAACTCGTCACTTTTCTCAGTCCTTGCTTTCTACGTCCGTTCCTTTAGGATTCGGGTCTTGTTTCTGCTCCCAGTTCTTGCAGGGATTACTGTATGGTTGTTCAAGGGTCATTTACCTCATTTGTGTTACCTCATCTTATCCTCATAGTTTCAATGGTAAGAAGCAAAGATGATGTTCACTTTTCTGGAGTACACTGGCTTCAGAGGTATTATGAAACTTACCCAATATATCATCATTAAAAAAAGGCAGGACTTAGAGCACAGCCCTGTAACCTAGGACTCTGGACTATCTCTAGAAGGCCCATCTAATCATTCCATCTTTAAAGGAAAACATAAAACCTACCTTGGCACAGCTCCCTTCTTAACTCTGGACCTTGGACTGTCCTTCAGTGCTCAGATCTCATCTTCCCATGTTACTCTCAAGATTGAAATTAAATTGCCACACCCAATAACGCAACCCTATACCCTCCCTAATTGTCTAGATTAGAGGGGTCTCCTGTGTACACAGCCCCGTAGAATCCCATGCCTACTGCCATCATAACATTTATCAGAAGGCATTTTAATTAATTGTTCTTTTTTTTTTTTGAGACTGAGTCTCGCTCTGTCGCCTAGGCTGGAGTGCAATGATGTGATCTTGGCTCACTGCAACCTCAGCCTCCTGGGTTCAAGCGATTCTCCTGCCTGAGCCTCCCTGAGTAGCTGAGATCACATGCCTAGCTACCTTTTTTTTTTTTTGTATTTTTAGTAGAGACGGGATTTCACCGTGTTGGTCAGGCTGCTCTCGAACTCCTGACCTCAAGTGAACTGCCTGACTTGGCCTCCCAAAGTGCTGGGATTACAGGCGGGAGCCACCACGCCCGGCCAATTGTTCTTTTTTATGTGTCTTCATCCTGAACTATAGTTCTTTAAGGGCACAGATGATGACAATAATGATTTATTTTTTAATTTTATTTTTATTCCCAGTGCATAGTAGAGTTCCTGGCATAGAGAAGTCGCTCACTAAATATTTAGGGGGAAAGTCTATAATTTTAAGTTTGGCAATGACTCTCACAATATTATTATATTTGACCTTCAGCATATGATGAACAGCTCTCATTCCTCTTGAACTTGTTACTGGCAGTGGTATACAAGGTGGGGCAGTTCACAGCAGAATACACGAGAATGTTTGGCAAGATTGGTCCAAGCATCTGAGTTCCTCTAGATTGTTGAGAGACGGAGAACTAAAACAAATGTTTCAGTACTAGTGGGTTAAAATGATCCTCTTCAAATTGTGTGTAAAGTGCAATGCTGAGTCATGTAGTGTTAGTATTTGCAATTTTTTATAAGAATTCAGAAAAAAATACTTCATGCAGAGAAGTGTTTAAATTATTACTATAATGTCTCTATACATTTTCACCAAAAGCTGACAGCTTTAACATTCAAATAAAGTAATTGAAATACATAATAAATAAAATGAAATGTAGAGAGAGCATATTGCTATTGCCTAATAAAGAGTGTTGCGAATAAAAAGCAATATTATTTTTTTAAAGAAGGAAATAATGTAGACCCAGAGTTTAACGCAGTAGTAGAGATATGAAAATAACAGTAACTCCTGTTATTTAGTAAATAGTTAACACACACTTTTAAACTTAAAACTATTTACAATGTTTACTTGGTAGTTATTTAAAGCAAAAATAACCTAAAATAACTAGTAGTTATTTAAAATATATGAGAATTTAATATTGAAATCGAGTATTTTTATAGAAAACTTTTTGTTAGATTTTGCATATGATTGAAGGAAGAACTCTCCTCCAAACTCCCCCACCAAAAGTTTTTTTTGTGTTTCGTTTTTTGTTTTTTTGAGACAGAGTTTCGCTCTTGTTGCCCAGACTGGAGTGCAGTGGGGCGATCTCGGCTCACTGCAACCTCTGACTCCTGGGCTCAAGCCATTCTCTTGCCTCTGCCTCAGGAGTAGCTGGGACTACAGGCACCCACCACCAAAGCCCGGCTAATTTTTGTGTTACTAGTAGAGACGGGGCTTCACCATGTTCACCAGGCTGGTCTCAAACTCCTGACCTCAGGTGATATGCCCACTTTGGTCTCCCAAATACTGGGATTACAGGTGTGAGCCACCACACCCAGCCCGAAAGTTTATTATTGATAGGTATCTTGAAGAAAATCAGGACTAAAGCATTTTGATTTGGACCATCATCTTTCTGTGCAGTGTGTGCATAGCATTCTTTGTTACATTGTCTATCTGCTTGGTGTGCATGTGTGCTCACACATGTGCGTGTGAGTGTATGTGTGCATGTGTATGTGTGTGGGAGTATGTTTTTATTTGACAGTGAGTGCACTAAGAATTTCCTGTGGTGCCAGCACACAGCAAAAGGTGGTTGGAAATGATGAAAGATTTATTTGAAAGCAAACTCAGTCATTCATTAAGCTGTGCCCATTATAAATTATTCAGCCTCTCTGGACCTCAATGTCCCCATTTATAAAACGGGAAAATATAACAATTAGTACTAGTACATACAGAGTACCTGTAATACATAGTATACCATATAGACATAATAAATTATAGCTGTGGATATTATCATTGTTATTCTTATTCAGTTATATTTGGCTAATTGCTCAGCAATACTTGGGCTATACTCTTAGCCCTGCCTTTATTAATCCTAAATATTAAAGATTAGACTTGACACACTTTAGTTCCGAGACCTGTGACCTTCCACACTGCCTATATCATAGTCACCAACAATAATTATTTACTGGAATGGTTAGATAGTGCTTTGTGTTTGCAAATTGCTTTCCAGCATTTAAAACCCTTTAGTCTTACAGCAACCCTATGGTGTTGATGTCACCTTGACCATTTTGCTTATTAGGAAGTTAAGGCCTGGGAAAGTTAGAAAAAAAAAAAAACCTGCTATCATTTGGTCAGGGCTGGAGCAGGGATCAAACACAGGTTTGGGACTATAAAGCTCTACCCTTCCCATCATTCTCTATTTTGGTCTCTAAGCCAACAACAGGCTGGATACTATGTTGTGCAGACAGAATGTATTATTCAAAGTAGAATATATTGGTGGGGAATGGAGTGCTATTACTAATTATCCTGAGACAAGAAAAGCCAGTCAGGCAAAGCAGGATATAGGATCACACTGGTCAGAATATAAAAACAAGGCGTATCTTCAAACTCCAGCTTCCTTAGCAAATAACTTGGGAGTTAGAATATAACTACAAACACAAAAATTTAAGTAGCTTAGAAGATGCAGGTAAGTGATAGCAGTCATAGCTATCCAGACAAGAAAAATACATGCCTTAGGTAGAGGGATATGCTTTACTCATTTCTAAGATCCTCGTACTTGGTACAGTGCTTTGAACATAGTAGAAATTCATTAAATGTTTATTAAATTGAGTCAGACTTCTTTGAGTTGAAGTGTTCAGAGAAAATGAGGGGGGAGGGAATTATAGCTGAGGTTTATGCAAAGTCTTTTCCATTGGCTCATGGTGGCAATAAACTTGTGATTTATGTGACCTTCCCTAAATAAGTCACTAGTGTGATTCTTGAAATATTATTGTGCATTAAAGCTACAAAGCACAATGCATACTAAGCTATGATTAATCACATTGTGGGGAAGGATTGGGGACAGAAAAGGCAGAGATAAGGAAATTCATTTCCTGTTTAAGCAAGAAATATCTTTCAAAAAAATTTTGTTTTTTGAGACGAATCTCGCTCTGTTGCCCAGGCTGGAATGCAGTGGTGAGATCTCGGCTCACTGCAACCTCGCCTGCTGGGTTCAAGCAATTCTCCTGCTTCAGCCTCATGTGCAGCTGGGATTACAGGCATGTGCCACCAGGACCAGCTAATTTTTTTTTTTTGTATTTTTAATAGAGACAGGGTTTGCCATGTTGGCTAGGCTAGTCTCAAACTCCTGACTTCAGGAGATGTGGCCTTCTCAGCCTCCCAAAGTGCTAGGATTACAGGCATGAGCCACCATGCCTGGCTCCTTATAAATATTATTAACCTAAAAATAATTGGCTGATTTCATTAATCTTGGTAGAATAGGTTCTATGATTGACATAATAGGTTGCGTTCAATCTAAATGCCCCACACTGAATTCTTGAGTAAGCACAACTATAATGTTTTGAGGATGCTAATTCATATAAAGTCTTCCCTTTTATATACAACTCATTCCTGATGTCATCCCTAGGTAGTTACATCATGGTGTGCTCAATAATACAATACCGTTCTGTGTTTCTGGTGAGAACAACTAGAATTTATTTTGACGTGGGAGTTGTCACACTTCATAAAATCTCTCTGAATGAATTCAAAGTGATACGTATAGAATCAGTGGGCGTGTCAGTTTGGTAGAAAAAGAAACCTAAGTGACACACTTGGCTTCCTGGTTGTTTAAGACATACATCCTTCAATTTACTGGGCTTCAGGGATTGGGTCTGGGAGTATGTACAAGAAGATCCATGAAGTATTAAGACTGGTGGATGAGGAACTAATTCTGACATCTGGGGCCAGTGTCAACCATCTCTCACTGAACCCTCCCAGGCCCTGCTGCTTTGATTGTAGTCTGCAGTGATTCTCCCCAGAAGAAGAGCTTTTGGCATTAGAAGGGAAGTATGATGTAGTGACTACAAGTATGTACTGGAATCAAGGATGCTGACTTTTAGGTCATCTGTGCCACTGACTAAATGGAAGTCCTTGGTCAAGTCACAGACCTTTTCTGGGCTTCTGGTCTTCATCTTCAAAATTAATGCTTGGTATAAAGCATGCCTAAGGCTCTTCATGTCCCTAATGACATTTCCTTATCCACTTTCTGCAAATATTTGCCATCTTTCTCTGAACTAAGTGGTATCAGAAGGTACACGAGTGCACTCATCCTCACAGCTGGCTAGTAAAGTCAGGAAAATCCACCATCACTGCAAAATTTTTCAAAACAAAGGCTTCTTCTCAGTTTTTACCCCTCCTTCCAAACTTTATTGTATGAAGCTTTGCCCCAGTCCTTTTCTGATTTTTAACCAAACTCAGTTGTCCAAAAACCAAGATGCTGGTAGTTTTCAAAGGTCTAGAGGGTTGGAGAATTGTTAAGTAAAATGTCAATTTCATTAACTGCAATTTTCTGTGTCTTTACTTAAGAAAATGCTTGTGTTAATTGACTAGAAAAGTTCTGCACATACATTAAAATTTATTAAGAAAAGGCTGCATAATTGTTAAGTGACCACAAAGATTCCAAAGGCTAAGGTGGAAAGTTTTCTCAACTGCCCCCTCCAGTAGGAGTGAAGAATTATAACATTTTACTAACCAGTCTGTGCAATGAACTGTGGCTGGAAGATCAGACACGTACATGTAAATACCTTGCTCAGGAGGAGAGAGAGCAGCGAGGACTGCATGTTCCAACTGAACTAAAACACATGGAGATATAGAATGACCCATTCAGCTGAGGATAAGATGGAAACACCTCAAACACCAAGACGATCATAGGAAAGGGCACCCAGCCATGCCTTGGCTATGGCTAATAGATTTCCTGTTAATGATTAAGTCGGAGGAATCCATGGAGTGCATGGCCTCAGTGGCTTCTCAAATCCCAGAATGAGGCATTTGCAGGTGACTTGAAGGTCTGTTAATGATCACTGAAGGTAAAAGCTGCTTGTTGACAGGTCTCTACTTTTTCTTGTGAAATTACTTAGCTCCTCTGGGATAACTGTATAGAACTTTGGATAAAAATATTAAAATTCTATTTAGTTGTACAATGTTTTAATGCAAATTTTTAACCATAAAACCAACCGCTCCATTCAGTTAAATTAATAGAATTACAAAAAAGATGTAATGATAGCAATTAAGTCTTGAAAATGCAAATTTTATAGTCAAGGACAATTACCTCATTTATAGTATATTGGAATGGTGCCAGATGAAGGTAATTTAGATCCTCCCAGCTCACAGTTACATCATGATGGATATCTTCATTTCATTAGTTCAACAAAGATGGGTGAGAAGTTAGACAATACATAAAAAAACTAAAGCGTATTTGACCTTTAGTATAACTAGAACCAGAATTCATTCACTAATTTATCAAGTATTTAATGAGTACCAATTATCTAAAATATTATTTATATATTTTGTCTGCCTTAGAGAAAAAAAAGTCTTTATTTTCACATCTAGAAAGCACTGGTTTGTAGAGAAATCAGATTTCTTCAAAACCAGGCCAGGTTTTTGGTGCTTGGTGAGTATCTTTATGTGCAATGCAGATGACCTAATTTTGTGTTGATTGGAGTGATACCAAGTCTCCCTGCAAAAGAACAATGGGTTTTTCACTAATTATCTTCTCTTTTATTTGAGCCTGCTTCAAGTAATTGTTGGTGTCTTAAAATCATGCAGCTGTGAAAGTTGGGCTACCTAAATGATTACTTTTGTCATTTTAAGATTTTACTATGTACTATCTTATGTTCCATATTTTCACATTATCATCTTGGCTGCAGTTCATTTGTACAACATCCAGAAGTTTATCATTTCCATATTACAGGAAGACAAGTAACTTTACAAAAATTTTTTAAATAGAGAGATTTAATAATAAGAATGTAGGCTTTTCAAACTTCCAATTCTATATTGTCTTAATGCAAATTTTCTGCTTATGTTCATAAAAAAAATCTGCATTGCTCATGATCTCCCCTTTTGCCCTCTAGAGGGCACTAGATCACACTCCTGATGATAAAAGGAGTCAAATTGAAGCCCTATTTGCTGATGTTAAAATTTCCCCTTGAGTCATTATCTTTGGAGAGAAAATTTCTGCTGTCTAAAGGAACCAGTGACTATGAGGAGCAGGTAGTTCACTTCTTGCCACGTTGTTTCTAAACAGAGGGAAAGCAATGCGCTTGGGGGTTTTGAAGACTGGCTGCCCAAGTTCAAACACATGGCTCAGGCACTTCCTGAATATGTAATGTTGGGCAAATTATTTGTTTCTGTGCCTCAGTTTCCTCATCTGTAATATGGGGATAATAATACCTACTCCACAGCATAGCTGTGAAGATTTTAAAAAATGATAATATGTATAAAGAAGTTGGGGAACAGATACAGCCTATAGCAAGCACTATTAGTATTAGAGTTTTTTTCAATATTTTATAGCAAGCACTATTAGTATTAGTTTTTTTAATACCTTTTTTTGGAACATAATCCCCAATAATGATTCTGCGCTACTGCCCCTGGATTTCTTCCTTAGTCCCATGACTCAAATGGGCAAGCCTCTATTAGGACCATCTAAGAGATCTATGCAATTCCCTTACAAGATTCAATATTGGCTTAGCGTACTTTTAAAGAGGCTGATGCCATTGATTCAATAGACGTCAAAACAGAAAGTAAACCTCTTCAAAGTCAGGATGACATAACTTTGTAGTTTTGCTTTCTTGCTCACTTTTGGATAATAAGCCCCAAACCAAAATATCAAGAGTTTATTGTAATGAAAGGCCATAGAAACACATACTAGACAAATGAGTATACAGAATAGATATATGGCCCTTCTTTAGTCTATGGAAAATATTTTATTTTCCTTGAATGCCATATATAGTAAGAGTCATTAGGATTTTTTTCCCCTGGAACTTACATAGCAGCTAGAAGAGCCAATAATGCTTTTGAAATTCAACCTTTGTTTCTAGTGATGATGTCTAAGTCTTTGTGGATTTACTGTCTTGGTTCATTTAGCTAGCAGTAGAACGAGAGTTTTCACAAAATATCCCCCTGGGTCATGGTGGCGGTAGTGGTAATCCTCTATCTTCTTTCTCTCCCTGATATTTATATTTATTTATTACGGTAAGTTTTCTAATGCATAAAAATGTAATGTAAGAAATGATTATAAATCTTTGGCTATATACATGTTCAAAGAGATATTTAAAATTAGTTGTCCCTGATCCTCTCAACGTAGATATTAATTCATCAGTAAGTCAACTGATAGTTTGTGCCATAACCTCTAATAGATCTGGCTTTGCCCTGGAAGCCCATGCAGGCTAAAATCAGCAGCCAACCCTTTGCCTGGATTGTACTTCTAAAAGAGTTAGAGTTTGAAGTGCCGTATAAGTATTTTAAATATATTTGTATTGATGTACACAACCGGTTTGATCATTATTAATGAACTAATCGACTAAATACTGTATTAGATAATCAGTTGGTGGAGCCTAATAATAGTATCAGCTCTAGATGTGAGTATCTCTTGGCGTTCCTGTAGTCTGATTTATGAATGGTATGCTACACATCAATCTTTACACACCCATTCAGAATAAATAAGCAAGATGAAAGGAGATTCACATATTCTTTATAAAGATAAGTCTTATGAGGTAATGGCTCTATGATGGTTAATACACCCTATTCTCATAGCATTATGATAGAACCTAAAACTTAATTGCTCTGTTCAAAAGAGAAATAATGCAATGTTCCTACTTAAAATGGTTTCTTATGCAAAGGCGTAAAATTTCTGGCATTAGAGAAAACAAAAGCGTATCTGGTACTCTAGCTGCTGTGTCTCAGTTGTAAAAATCTCGTCTGTGATCATAATAGGATATTGATTAGTATGGAAGCTATACAAAGCTGAATTGCATTTCTTGGTGGAGTACGAAAGGTCACTGTTTGATTACTCAATAACTTTTCAAATACAAGAAATGCTATTTAAAAGTATGCTTGAATGATTGGTTTGTACTATAAGAGGGAAATGGGGGAAATGGTACTACTTTCGTAAAGGTAGTTAGATGTTAAATTCTTATATCATTTTCTATTCATGTATATTTAACATTCTGTACTATTTTATATACTAGAACATAAACCATTAAATCAAATTATAAGTGCAATTTTACATGTTATCCATGTGATATCTAACTTACAAGACATATAATTCACTTGTTTTTAGGTATTAACTGAGTTTGTCACTATGGCCATCTTATATTTGATGGCATTTATTTTCTGTGATCATAAATATAAGGTACTTCATATTATTATAGAAAATGTAAAAAATACAGAACTATATAAAGAAGATAACAAATTACCAATAATTCTGATATTCTGATTAACTTCTTTCCTCTTTTTATTTATAAAACAATATAAAGTCTTATCATGTATTTATTATATTTGCTACAAGTTATAAATTCAGGATCATTTTATAATAGTTTTAATGATAATTTTCCCCTTTTAACTGGGAATGCACTCTTAGGAATAGTAAATATTCTTGAAAAAATGATTCTTAATAACTGCGTATTATTCTAAATTATGGATAGACCATAAAATATTTAACCTGTTAGTTTGTGCTCATAAATACCTCCGAACTCTCCTGTTTATGTGACCTATAGTTTTGTTAAGAGCCTTGTATGATGGACATCGGCATCATCCTCTTTGATCCCGTTACTTTCTCCTTACATTGCCACTGATTTCCTCTTTTGGCATTACAGGTTTCTTTCTAATCACTGGCACACATGCCCAAGCCCAGGGCTCACTATTTGCTCAAACAAGTATTCACCTTTGATAGATTGAGTAACCTCAATCTGACTTGGCAAAATAAAGAAACCTTATTGAGTCTATTGCAAGGACTGGCTAACAGCATCCCAATACTTGGTTAGAACTCCAACCATATTTACCAAATGTATTAGGATGTTCTTGCATTGCTATAGAGAAATCCCTGAGGCATGGTAATTTATGAAGAGAACGGTTTAATTGGCTTACAGTTATACAGGTTGTACAAGTATAGCACCAACATCTGCTCTGCTTCCAGTGAGGGCCTCAGTAACCTTCCAATCACAGTGGAAGCTGAAGGGAGAGCAGGCATGTCACGTGGCAGGAGAGGGAGCCAGAGAGAGAGGTGGGAGGTGCCACACACATTTCAACAAGCAGATCTCATGAAAACTGACTCATCACAAAGAGCATGGTGCTAGCGCATTCATGAGAAATACGCCCCCATGATCCGATCACCTCTTACTTGGCCCCACCTCCAACAGTGGGGATTACATCTCAACATGTGATTTGGTGGGGACACAGATCCAAACCATAGCATCAAATATATAGATGACTGAATGACAAGAGGCAGGTCGGAGAAGGTAGAAAGCAGTGCATGTAGAGAGAGTGGAGAATTTGAGTAGCAGATCATGAAGACAGAAGAAAAATGGGCGATGTAAAAATAGAAAGAATAGCACAGTAATGGGCAGAGGAAACAGAAATAGGGTGGAATACATGAGAACAGGGTGGAGGATTTGGGTGTCAGAAAAGAAGCAGTGTGGAAATTAATTGATACTCTCTGCAGTACAGCCACATTCTATGCCATGGGCAACACAGCAAAAGTATCATTCATAATTGGGACTCTCTGGCTTGTGTAACCACCCACTGAGACAAAAGAGACTGCTTTCATATCAATTATTTTGCTTAGGGTACTGGTATCATGATATACCTATTTATGTACATTTGATCCGTATGCACCTTTCAGATGTTGATAGACATGTAGCATCTGGAATTGGAAGGTGATGGACCTGCTCTTCTGTGTGCCAATCAGAATCTCCTGGAGCACTGGATTCAGGTCTAAAGTCAGACTTTTTAAGAGGGAAGTAGACACTGGAGGAGATGTACCCTGGAGGATGGTCAGCACAGTGAAGGGACCTAAAATACAATCACCCACAGACAGGTAAAAAGAAAGCTTGGAGAGGGCATGATTATACAGTTCCTAATAGGTGACTACTTTTGAAGGCATGCCAAGTACAAGAGCAGCAGGCTGGCTCTGTTTGACCTTAAGGAGAAGAGATGTGGAAACAATGCAGGCTTTTCAGGAAGACAGATTTTGTTTTGTTCAAGGAAAACCTAATAAGCAGTGGAAATGCTTGAATTTGTGATTGGTTCATCTTTGAGAAAGTGAGACCTTCCAAATTGGAGGTGTTTAAATACACCTTAGTGAACAATTGGTGGGGATTTTGTTGCAGAGAATCAAATACCTGCTATTCGGTGGAGATAGATTATCTTTAAGGTCTCTGCCAACTCTATGATACTGTAATTTTATGCAGATCTCTGTGTAGATGGAGCAGAGAAAGCAAATGCAAATTTGTATTGATGTGGCCAAAATTGCTTTAACAAAAGTTACATATTGAAACCATTTTAGTTTTAATACCATCAAAAATTTTACTTTGTTCTTTCATAAGAAAACACCTGTAACAACTGGAATGTTTTTTTCAATGTCATCTGTGTTTTTAGTTTGAATATAATGCATGGTTTTCTGAACAGAAAAAAATCTCACTTTCTCTTTTTTGTTTTGTTTTTGTTTTGTTTTTTGAGACAAGATCTGGCTCTGTCACCCTGGTTGGAGTGCAGAGATGCGATCTCAGCTCACTGCAACCTCCATCCCCCGGGATCAAGGGAGTCTTGCGCCTCAGCCTCCCGAGTAGCTGAGATTACAGGCATGTGCCACCACACCTGGCTAATTTTTGTATTTTTAGTACAGACAGGGTTTCACCATGTTGATCAGGCTGGTCTTGAACTCCTGGCCGCTTGTGATCTGGCCCCCTCAGGCTCCCAAAGTGCTGAAATTACAGGCGTGAGCCACAGCACCTAGCCAGAAATCTTACTTTGTAAGTGCTAAGATACATGATTGAAAATATCCCTGCCCTTGAGTCACTTATGTACATAATGCACTTAAATCATGAAAAGGCCTGCAAAGACTGCTTTAGAAGCACAGAGAGGTAGAACTAATGGAGCCCAAAAGAGGAAGGGAGTTTATAGTGGACCTGTCCCAGAGTTGGGTTTTAAAAGCATGAGTAAAATCTTGGTGAGTGAAAAAAAGTGGAGGACTAAAGAAAGTTCCAGGAAGGAAGAAGAGTATGCAAAAGAGAAGCTGTAGAGAGTTTGCAAGTCTCTACAAATAGGTTAGCAGAGCTGAAAGTTACAATGGAGGTGTGGCAGGAGAGAGTGAGGTATAGTCAGGTAGAGTAAGACCTTTATGCTAGTCTAAGAAACTTGAATTTTATACTTTATGTACCTGGAAGCCATTGACATGAATAAGGGAGATTTGACTTTAGCTCAGACACTGATATTTGATATATACATTTAAATGAACCAAGAATGTAGGCAAAGAAACCCAATAGGAGGCTACTGCAATAGCTTCAAGAAAGATCTTAAAAGCCCAAGTTGGGCAGTGGTAATCTGTATGAAGAGAATGTGAAAGGATTAAATATGTTTAATATAAAATCTTGGTCACTAATGTTATTAAGCAGTGGAAAGATGTAGGAGTCAACAATGACTCCAGATTTCTTATTTGGATGACCTTGTTAGATCCACCAATTGAGACGGGGAGCATAAGACTAAGAACACATTTTGGGGAAGGAAATGGATTTATTCAATTTTGGACTTACTAACTTTAGAGTGCTTTGGAGCCCTTTAAGTAGTTATGGCAGGCAGGAAGCCGGATACGAAGATTTATATCTCAAGAGAATGATTCTGCTTGAAGGTATAAATCACATTTTATCTACATATAAATAGCAGCTAAAGCCATGAGTTTGTCCAGGGAGAAAAAAAAAAAAAAGGAGAGAAAAAAATAAAGGAAAAAGAAGTGGGCTGAGGGAGAAATCAAAAGAAATCTCATGGTAAAAAAAAAATGGCCAAGAAGAAAAAACTCACAAAGGAATAAGAGAAAGAGTGGTGGGAGAAATTGAAGAATAAAAAAAAAATCTGATATAGCATCAAGGGAATAGTTCCAAGGAGGGCTAATCCACAGTGGTAAGTGAAATTGACAGTCTAGCAAGTAAAGAGCTAAAAGCGCCATTGAATCTGAGAATTCAGTAGTTGCCTTAAGGAGACTGGTTTATATGGATTAGCAGCTAGAAGAAACATTGCTGTGTTGACTATCAGATGAGAAGCAAGAAATTAAAGCCCTTAGTTGTAGAATTCCTCCTCCTCTGTCCACGGTTGAGAGGTTTCTATGAGAAAAAGAGCAGAGAAGGGGCACAGCTAGGAGGAAATCCAAGGTCAATGGAACAGTGTTGTTTGTATTACTTTGCTTTTTGTTTTAGAATGGGGAGTATTTCAGCGTGTCTCTGGATCCTAAAAAATAAGATCTAGCAGAGCAAGGAGGGTGAAGTCAAGGAAAAGATACATGACAACATACAGAAGGTGGCATTGGCTTTGAAGAGCAGAAGGGAAACCACACTTTCTCCAACTCCTGGGCTCTATGCTGTAATCCAGCTTACTTATTACAGGTAGATTTGCATATGGGTGTTGATGTGTGTTTGATAAAGTACTTATTTTTTCCTTTGGCAATTTTCTGGGACTGAATAAAAAGTTCAAGTTTATCACTTTCCAAAATTCTTAGCTATAAATCTTCAGATTCAGGGATTTTAAAAAATCTCATTTTTTTAAAAAGTAAGACATTAAAAAGAACTCTAAAGATAAGTTCTATCTTTTCATCAGTATTAAATATTTTTGTCAACTGCGTAAAATCCCTGAGCCTTACTCCTTTTACTTCTGGAGCAGTGAAGCTGCAAAATCTTGTTTCCAAGATTAATTATACAACAAATGTAGGTTCACATACAATAAACATGTACAGTGGCATGAATAATAAAGTTAACCAGAAAAACTTTCTTGCAGTGAGTGGACTCCTTCCATTGTTACTAGAAACATCTATACAGTAAGGACAGAATGCTGAGTTTATAATCACAAATTTGAGAACATTCATTTTAAAAAGGATTGAAATACAAGTTTTATGAACATTGAAAATAATGGTTCTATGTAGAAAACTGGATATGGGGAATAAAATGGAATCTGGACTTCTACAATAAGAACTTCTTTATTATGTCTTTTAAATGATGTTTTTAATTATGCAAGCAATATGTGAATTTATTTTTGTAATAGCTTTCCATTTACAAACAGCCCCCACCAATTCATGTGTATTCTCAAACTCATTAAAAACCAATGAATTTCATTCCCTATTTCATTTTCATTGAGTCCTTTCTGGTTATACCATTAGGCTGATGTAATGATTTTATCTATAAAATGGTATACTGGTCTATGACTTTCTATTGTCATTTCTCCCTTCTTCATGTTTCTATGTAACCCTTTTTTTCTTAAAATCTTTTGGCTAGAGGAATCCACCGGTTTGGCAGAATTTCTTTTTAAACAGTTGCAAATACTTAAACCATTTGTAGAATTAGATACCCCTATACAATGGTGTATACTTTTTATTTTCATGTACATGTGTGGAAGTCAGTTCACCTTAGAAGAAAATAGTGGGTACCTGTGAGGGACAACCCAAGCCGATATGAAATCAAAATACCCAGTTGCATCCTCACGTCTTAAGGTGCTCTGCTCTCTTCACAACTTCTGTAAAGTTTTCGCCAGATCTATTTCTTCAAACCGACTTTATTTTTATTTTTCTTTGAGACAGAGTCTTGCTCTCTTACCCAGGCTGGAGTGCAGTGGCCTGATCTTGACTCACTGCAGCCTCTGCCTCCTGGGTTCATGCAATTCTCCTGCCTCAGCCTCCTGAGTAGTGGGGACTACAAATGTGCACCACCATGCCCAACTAATTTTTGTTTTTAGTAGAGATGGGGTTTCGCCATGTTGGCCATGCTGGTCTAGAACTCCTGGCCTCATGTGATTTGCCCACCTCAGCCTCTCAAAGTGCTGGGATTATAGGTGTGAGCCACTGCACCCAGGTGCTTTAAACTGCCTTTAAATGTTGATCCTATTTGTGAGAACAAAGACACCATCCCAGCCACAACTAAATACAACTAAATAAAGATATTTTGCAAATAATTTGATAAGGAAGAGGCTGTATAATTATTATATAATAAAACAGTTTTATTTTATATATTTATGTGATTGAGATAACCCTGCAATTTGGACAACCTTTTTTCCTTTTAGTTTAATTAATTATTTTCAAAATATCCTTTCAGTAAAAGATACAGTAAACACTACTAACTTTTTCTGACCAGCCACAGCAATTTGCCCATCTTTTTATTGTGGCATTATTGTATTATATAATAAATAATGTTTAAAAGTTTATCTTTTTGTCTGGACCATGAAATCCTCAGGAACAGGGGTTGTGTTTTACTCATATTTGTCTATTCATTGATTAACTAAATGGACCACATTTAACCACCCCCTCTCCATCTCCTTCAGAGTCCAATTTAAGACTAGACAATGTAGAGTCCTGAGAGCTGAGAATAGATGAGGCTATGGAATGACCAGCAACAGCCAGACAGAAACTGAGCCAGAGTGTAAGGGTCAACTATGTTCAAGGATATATGAGAGTTAAAGCTAGATGGAAACCATATCCATTTTTTAATTGCACTGAGTAAGTCTGGAGTCAATAACAGGAGCTGAAATAAGAGGACAAAAATCACCCTTAATCTGATAGGCACAACCTATTCAGCCCAGTGAATATAAAGCAGGCAGAAAAACGTGTTAAGGGGAAACAGGCCTAGCCTCCCTGCCTACATCTTGCCCTTGAACATCGGACTCAAAGTTCTTCAGTTTTGGCACTCAGACTGGCTATCCTTGCTCCTCAGCTTGCAGACAGCCTATTGTGGGAACTTGTGACCATATAAGTTAATACTTAATAAAGTCCTATATATATACACACACACACATATATACACATATATGTGTGTATATATATATGTGTGTGTGTATATATATGTGTGTGTGTGTGTGTGTGTGTGTGTGTGTGTGTGTGTGTGTATCCTATTAGTTTTGTCCCTCTAAGAAAACCCTAATACAGATTTTGGTACCAGGAGTGGGGTCCAGAAGAGTAGAAGGCTCTGCAACAGGTCCAGGCTGCTGCGTAAGCTGTTCTGCCACTTGGGCCATATGACCAAGCAGATTCAATGGTGCTTGAGGTGTCAGTGGCAGATAGGGATGCTGTTGGGAGCCTTTGGCAGGTTCCCATAGATGAATCAGAGCAGAGACCTCTAGGAGTTTGGAGGAAGGCCCTACCATCTTCTGAAGATAACTACTCTCCTTTTGAGAGACAGCTCTTGGCCTATTACTGGGATTTGGTGGAAACTAAACATTTGACTATGGGTCATCAAGTCACCATGCAACCTGAACTGCCTATGGTGAACTGGTTATACCATTAGGCTGATGTAATGATTTTCTCTATAAAATGGTGCTTTTATGGGTGCTTTCTGACCCATCTAGTCATCAAATGGGTTGTGCAGAGCAGCATTCCATCATCAAAGGGAAGTGGTATATATGTGATCAGTCTTGAGCAGGTCCTGAAGGCACAAGTAAGTTACATGAGGAAGTGGTTCAAATGCCCATGGTCTCCACTCCTGCCACCCTGCCTTCTCTCCCCAAGCCTGCACTGATGGCCTCATGGGGAGTTCCCTATGATCAGTTGACAAAGGAAGAGAAGACTAGGGTCTGGTTCACAGATGGTTCTGCACGATATGCAGGCACCACCCAAAAGTGGACAGCTGTAGCACTACAGCCCCTTTCTAGGACATCCCTAAAGGACAGCAGTGAAGGGAAATCTTCCCAGTGGGCAGAACTTCAAGCAGTGTACCTGGTTGTGCACTTTGCATGGAAGGAGAAATGGCCAGATGTAGGATTATATACTGATTCATGGGCTGTAGCCAATGGTTTGGCTGGATGGTCAGAGACTTGGGAGAAGCAAGATTGGAAAATTGGTGACAAAGAAATTTGGGGAAGAGGTATGTGGATGGACCTCTCTGAGTGGTCAAAAGCTGTGAAGATATTTGTGTCTCATGTTAGTGCTCATCAACGGGTGACCTCAGCAGAGGAGGAGTTTAATAATCAAGTGGATAGGGTGACCCGTTCTGTGGACACCACTCAGTCTCTTTCCCCAGCCACTTCTGTCTTCACCCAATGGGCCCATGAACAAAGTGGCCATAGTGGCAGGGATGGAGGTTACTCATGGGCTCAGCAAACTTGGACTTCCATTCACCAAGGCTGACCTGGCTATGGCCACTGCTGAGTGCCCAATTTGCCAGCAGCAGAGACCAACACTGAGCCCTTTATATAGCACCATTCCTCAGGGTGATCAGCCAGCCACCTGGTGGCAGATTGATTATATTGGACCTCTTCCATCATGGAAAGGGCAGAAGTTTGTCCTCACTGTAATAGACACTTACTCCAGATATAGGTTTGCCTATCCTGCACACAATGCTTCTGCCAAGACTACCATCCATGGACTAATAGAATGCCTTATCCATTGTTATGGTATTCCACACAGCATTGCCTCTGACCAAAGCATTCACTTTAGACCAAAGAAGTGCAGTGATGGGCTCATGCTCATGGAATTCACTGGTCTTACCATGTTTCCCATCATCCTGAAGCAGCTGGATTGATAGAACTGTGGAATGGCCTTTTGAAGTCACAATTACAATGCCAACTATGTGACAATACTTTGCAGGGCTGGTGCAAAGATGTCCAGAAGGCCATGTGTTCTCTGAATCAGCATCCAATATATTGTACTGTTTCTCCCATAGCCAGGGATTCACAGGTTCAGGAATCTAGGGATGGAAGTGGAAGTTGCACCATTCACCATCACCCCTAGTGATCCACTAGCAAAATTTTTGCTACTTGTTCCTGCAACATTACGTTCTGCTAGCCTAGGGGTCTTAGTTCCAGAGGTAGGAATGCTACCACCAGGAGACACAACAACGATTTCATTAAACTGGAAGTTAAGATTCCAATCTGGACACTTTGGGCTCCTCTTACCTTTAAATCAACAGGCTAAGAAGGGAGTTACAATGTTGGCTGGGGTGATTGACATGGACTATCAAGATGAAATCACTGTACTACTCCACAATGGAAGTAAGAAGAGTACAGGCCCTGTGGCTTTGCAGGGTATAGACTCCTCCCAACTGCTTTCACAGGCTAGCGCTCAGCATCTGCAGCTTTTCCAGGTGCATGGTGCAACTGTCAGTGGATCTACCTCCACCACCTTCTGGAGGACGGTAGCCCTCTACTCACAGCTCCACTAGGCAGTGCCCCAGTGAGGACTCTGTGTGGAGGCACTGATCCCACATTTCCCTTTAGCACTGTCCTAGCAGAAGTTCTTTATAAGGGCTCTGCCCCTGCAGCAAACTTCTGTCTGGACATCCAGGCATTTCCATACATCTTCTGAAATCTAGGTGGGGGTTCCCAAACCTCAATTCTTGTCTTCTGTGTACCTGTGGAACCAACACTATGTGGAAGCCACCAAGGCTTGGGGCTTGCACCTTCTGAAACAATGGCCTGAGCTGCACCTTGGCCCTTTTAGCCAAGGCTGTAGAGCCTGGGACACACGGCACCAAGTCCGACGGCTGCAAACAACAGGGGTGCCCTGGACCTGGCCCAGGAAATTATTTTTCCCTCCTAGGCATCCTGGCTTGTGATGGGAGGGGCTGCCATGAAGGTCTCTGACATGACCTGGAGACATTTTCCCCATTGTCTTGGAGATTAACATTTGGCTCCTTATTATTTATGCAAATTTCTGCAGCCAGCTTGAATTTCTCCCCAGAAAATGGTTTTTTCTTTTCTACTGCATTGTCAGGCTGCAAATTTTCCAAACTTTTATGCTATTGAATGCTTTACTGCTTAGAAATTTCCTCCACCATATACCCTAAATCATATACCCTAAATAAGTGTACGGATTTTGCTGTCCATACACTCCAGGCCAGGTGGTCTCACATGGAGATGAGGAGTTTGTTGAGAACTTGAGTAAAGGTCACTCTTGCTATGTTTTAGCCAAGAGACTGGTAGCATTTTGCCCCTGCCCTAGAGATCTGTAAAACTTTGAACTTGAGAGAGATGATTTAGGATATATGGTCAAAGCCATTCACCAAGTCTTTAGGAAGTTCCAAGCTTTCCCACATCTTTCTATCTTCTTCTGAGCCCTCCAAATTCTTTCAACCTCTGCCTGTTACCCAGTTCCAAAGTTGCTTCCACATTTTTGGGTGTTTTTAGAGCAGTGCCCCACTCTCTGTAGCACCAATTTACTGTATTAGCCCATTCTCATGCTGCCGACACATGATTTTTCTTGGCCATCTTGTCAACCAAGAATCTCCACAGCCAGCAATGCCCCACTGTTGCCTGGGACTCACTTTGCCCCAGGCCTGCTGCTGCAGGAGCCTCACCCACTCAGCCCAACTGTGTAATAACTTGTACCTGTGTTTGGCAATTCCCAAGCCCTTGTCCCATGTCCCAGAAGAATGAGGATACACTGACAATTCAATGGGTGAGGATTGGTGGAGAAGAATTTTATTGAGTGATGGAATAGCTCTCAGTGGAGAGGGGATGAAGATGGTGGTTTGTCTTCCAGTGTGGGCAAGCCAAGAGCTTTTTATGGGCTCAGAGTAGGGGAGTGTGTGCTGATTGGTTTGTGAGTATGCAAAAAAGTTTAACATGAAGACACCACTTAAAGGTGGGCACGACAGTGTAGAAAACCAATTAGAAAAGGATAGGTATCTGCAAAATAGGTGAAGGATGGGGACCAACCAGAGGAAAGTACATGAAATGGGAAGACAGGTTCTCAATCTGGTCTATGGATCTACCAGGACTTGTAGCTAGGCTTTAAATTGTCTTAGGCTTGAAGGTGGGGTTTCACTGGGTACCCGCCCCTGTCTGCCTAGGCATTTGCCTACCTCCTGCCACTATCACTGCTATGAAGAACTAGCCAAGACTGGGTAATTTAGAAAGGAAAGAAGTGTAATTGACTCACAGTTCTGCACAGCTGGAGAGACCTCAGGAAACTTACAATCATGGCAGAAAGGGAAGCAAACACATCCTTCTTCACATGGCAACAGGAGACAGTAGTTCTGAGCAAAGGGGGTAAAGTCCCTTATAAAACCACCAGATCTGATGAGAACTTACTATCAGGAGAACAGCATAGGAGTAATCACCCCCATGATTCAATTACCTCTCACCTGGTCCCTACCATGACACATGGGGATTATGGGAACTACAGTTCAAGATGAGATATGCGGGAGGGGGACAGAGTTAAGCCATATCACACGTGTATGTGCATGTGCCTGCACACACACACACACACACACACACAGAGGAAAATATTGACATGAAGGGAGCTATGATTTCCTGCTTATATTAATATATGTAAAACCCATTGGCACAATTTATGGGGCCTTCAATGCTATTCCTTGTCTGATCCAAGTCCAGGACACTTCTAGCTTTATTAATGATAATGATGATCATTATTGTCATTATCATTATTGACTGATAAGCCTGTTTGCCCAAGATGCCATGGAAAATTATGTATAAACCTAATAATATTCAACATTGACTTGGAAAGAAGTGCCTTGTCGATAATAAGGGATGATATAGTTATTAATTTGACTTGAAAAGTCATTAACAAATATATACATTCTATGAGTGGGCAAATATTCCCAAAGCATCATTCAGAGGCAGTGCAATTTTTGTTCTGAGGTGTGAGGAGGCAGCCAGAGAACTGATGTCATTCTCCCTGTCACTTTCTCAGGAAGGTTAAACAGCATTCTATGAGCTCTTCTGGGTTGATTTATTAAAGGTTTTATGGAGAAAACAGTGGGAATTCAGGAACCACTGGAATAATGGGTAGGAGAATTTGCAGAATAAGGTTGCATCCCACACACAGAGGCACAGAGAGCAGAGGTAAGAACGAAAATAACAGACAAAAGACCTCACCTAAAAGGAATGATGACAATGGGTAAGGAGTGGGATATTTCATATAAAGTTAAAATGTCATTTTTTTATTATACCAAGGAAATAGATAAACTATTACAGACAGCTGACTACAGATGTTTATGATTAGCACAGTACTTGGCTCTTATTTTCCTGGATTCTGCCCCATTCTAAATAAACCTGGATTGTTTTCATTCTCATTAGCATCATAGAACTTATTCATATTGAAGAGCCTATTAAGACACTCAGATAGATGTTACTTCTAGATCTTATATCTTCTAAGCCATTTGCACAGAGTAAGGATTTGATGTTCTCTAACTAGGTAATAGGATTACTATATTTTGAAATGGTCCCTTTGGGACAATCCTTATGCAATTTCCTGTTTCCTGTCAGGATGGTTTAACCTATACAGTGAAAAGAAGGGTTGCAGCAGGTTTAAATATTTAAAAGTAAAGCTTATTTGAGCTGCATAAAGTAATTGCTACCTGCAGCAGAGAAAGCATAAGTCAGGCTCCATTTTTTACCTGAGAAACCTTGAAGAGCTGCTTTTGTCACTTGTTTGTATTATTTTTAAATGCCTTCCAAGTTTATAAAGTCTTGGAAAACATAACGTTTATGTATGGAGAGGACTCTGACCAAGGCTTCTCATCCTCGTCTTGTTTGCTGGGCCTGGCTTTTCAGTCTTCTTGCAGGACTTTAATGAGCAGGGAATTATTCACAATTAATGACAGCCAATCACTACAGTGGGGAATATACACTTATAAAATTATGACAAATAGCCACACCATGTGATCAGAGTAGACAAATTACACCATAAGCAGAAAGTAGTTATGGTTGATTGGAGCAATTAAATGTTTTCTTTTTTAAAAAACTCCAGTGAGAATATTTTAGAAAATGGCTTTT
The DNA here is from genome assembly GCF_000001405.40 of Homo sapiens. NCBI lineage: Eukaryota > Metazoa > Chordata > Mammalia > Primates > Hominidae > Homo > Homo sapiens. The sequence goes on from NC_000006.12 coordinate 9,555,560, forward strand.
TAATCATCTGTAGAACTGTTAAAATTATTGTCTCCTAATAGTTGTAAAGTACACCATGTTTAGAATTCACTGTAATCCCTTTGCATAGCCATGGGATTCTTCCCCCAGAAACCTGTTTACTTGAAACTTATTTTTAATCACAGACTCAACATCAACTCATTCCCATTCTGAAGGAAATGCCAATAATTTTCTAAGATTAGAAAAGAAGACACTGGGCTTCCACGAATGAGTAAGAACTATGCAGTCTGCGTAGCCAGATTAGGGAAAACAAAATTCTAAACAAATATGCTTGTTATCTTACAGCTGGACTCTCCCCACCAGATCAGAACTTGGTCAGATGCTGGAAGGCGTCCTAATGACCTCCTAAAAAGTAACTAGGTTACTCTCCAGGGCCACTATGGAATGGAAGCCAAGGAAGCCACCTGGTTTCACTGAGAATGGATTGTGGAACCTGGGAAACCTGTGAGAAAAGGAGGCTAATGAAGAGAAGATGTTCACATTGACTTCTGATTTTTTCTTTCTTTCTTTGTTGGGGAGTGGGAAGAAGACAGGGCAGGAAGTGCTAAGGCCATCAACAGGTAGGGCCAAGGGGAAATCTGTTGTCTCACTAGGGCCCAGGAAAAATGTCTGACCTCTACAGAGATTGGGCCATTTCATCTTTTCTGCTCAGCTTTGCGATTTGGGAAAGCTTAGGGAATGTGCCTGAATGGATCCCATAGCCTCGGAGGAACGTCAGGAGACATGGAGAAGCAGAACATAGCTAGGCAATAGGTACGCATGCCCAGTAAGTACCTAGTAAGAGAGAGGGAAAGCACCCGGCGGATGCAGATTGGATTCTGACCCTGGATGTGCCAGTCCCACGGACATTCAGACACAATGATTAGGGTTTTGCAAAAGTCCTGGGTATCTTCATTAACAAAGGAAGGCACACATACAGCAATATTGTTAGCTCAACCGTGTCAGCAATATCTTTTTCATAGCAACGGGCTGATAAGCTTGGATATTATTTGCTTTTTGTTGGTTTTATAAGTTAAAATTTGAGAAACTTTTTATAACAATATATATTTTTTCTTGTAGAGCTTGGAAGTCTCCCTGAAAATGCTGAATGAAGAAATTTGACTTGTGAGTACAAACATGCGCTACAGGACTTTATATTAGAATTTTGGCCACAACAGGCAATTGCCTTCTGAAGTACCCAGTCTAGTCAAGTATCTAATAAAAGCTTGATTTCTTTGAGGACATACTAAGTGATAGGCACAGTGTTTTCCTTGTGCTAACACATTTAACCTCTGCAACAACTGTTTTCACAATAGCTTACAAAATAAGAAAACTACGGCTCAGAGAGATAAAGTGAGTTGGTTGTGATTAGAAAATCAAATATTAGATAGCACCTAGACTGAAACAAGTTCTATCTGATTACAATATCCAATTTGTAATAAGAAGATATTTCTTCTGGCCTGGTATAATAATATCTTTTTTATTTAGGGATAAAATATTACCACAGATGTAAAATATAAGGGGAAAAAGACACTTAATTTTACATTAACCGTGAACTCAAAAAAATTTTTAAAAATTTCATTGTCTTACCATTATAATAGTTTTTTTTAAAATTATACAATTGTTATTTAAACTAGGGTAATGTGCTTTTCTAGATCTTTCATATATACCAACCAGGTTGATTCAACTTTATAGTCACTCTTTAATATGGATTTTCATAATTTCATTTACCTCTTATGGCACCACCGTAGTGGTTGTCTTATTTATTTATTTAATTAAAGTGGTACTAACAGAAGAATCTCACTTCTGTTTAAAAACATCGTCTCGGCCGGGCACGGTGGCTCAAGTCTGTAATCCCAACACTGTGGGAGGCTGAGGCAGGTGGATCACCTGAGATCAGGGGTTCAAGACCAGCCTGGCCAACATGGTGAAACCCCGTCTCCATTAAAAATATAAAAGTTAACCAGGTGTGGTGGCAGGCGCCTGTAATCCCAGCTACTTGGAAGGCTGAGGCAGGAGAATCGCTTGAACTCAGGAAGTGGAGGTTGCAGTGAGCCAAGAATGCGCCATTGCACTCCAGCCTGGGTGACAAGAGTGAAACTCCATCTCAAAAAAAAAAAAAAAAAAAAAGTCTCATCTTGATTATGTGGAAATGTACACACTTTCCCCAGATTCCATTTCTTGAATGTTATCTATATGATCACAGGAAGATAAAGCTTCTCAAATACCCTTGGACACACAGCCACTCCCTCCCCACCAACCCCTACCTGAAATAACACAGCTTCTGGGGAAAATCTATAGTGGGTTCATCATGAAAGATCCTTCTTCCTGGATTTTCAGGTACTGCTTTCCTTGTCTAGGCAATAGGGCTTGAAGAGATGTGTTTGTTGTAGAGTTAACAACCTTTCTCAGATGCATGAAAAGAAGCTGTTTATTTCACCCAAGATATGTCAGTATATAATCACCTTAGGAAAGCCAATTTTCCTTATGGAATGAACATCAAGTTTCATGACTTAAAATTCACACAGTTCTGTCTGTAAAGACTAGGCAGTAAGGATTCTAGCCAACTGCTATAGATTACACAGGCTTGTTCCTTATCCCTGTGATGGTTCCTTTACTTTTCAGCATCCTTATAGCCTGCAGGTTTCTAAATTGAGCCTGGGTCTTCATGTTATGTATAAATAGTAAGGCATCCATTTAGCCAGATTCAAGTGGTCTATGGCTTGAGGCAGAACGAGAAAAATTTCCAGAACAAATAACTTCTACCATACTGAATAAAGATACTTGATCAAATTAACTAAAGGTAATTCTGTTATCCACTGAAAACCCGGGTATCTAAACCTGGGAGAGGTCCTGCTGCTAAGACGCCAAAACTTGAAATTTATAAAACAGCAAATGACTAAATATTCTGTAGATCCACAGCGCTATTTCCCAGTTCTCATTTACATATTTAATTGTTTCCAATAAGACCTCTTTGCAGCAGAAATAGAAAGACAATGTGTGTGAGTGCACTGATGTGTGGCATCATCTGAAATCCATACAGGATCTTTGTTTACCTGCTGTGCTTAATTTCAGTATACATTTCTATGATTAATTTTGTTTTTCTTCAGTACATCAAACTGTTCTAAGTCATTTGTGTCTGGCATTTTATGCTGTAGATTAAAGTGGACTATTGATTCCTAAGAATCGAGCTGTCTTTGAATCCGAATTCTAGATGATCACAGAGGACCACAGAGCCTGATGCTTCACCTGGGATTAACACTCACTCACACCCACACCCAGAATCCCTCAAGAGAATTCAGGGAATCTGTGAGCCTGGATGGGAAAAATCACTTGATTTTTTTTCTAGTAACTAATGGAAATTTTTAGCATTTCCTTTCATTCTTAATATGGCCAGAAAACATGGTAGTATAATCAGTACTTACAATTTTGTCACCAGAAGAAATTGCAGGTGTTTGTCATATCGCATTATTGCACATATCCTCGAATATGATTTCTGTCCATCTCTCATCACCCCTCTGTCATTGTGGTAGTTATTAGATCCACCACGTGATCTCATTAAGACAGTGTGTGCCTTATTCTACAAATTCCTTTACACTTTGGTAACTTTAATACAATCAGTTTCCTTTGTACTCTTTTAAGTATTTTATTTTGTACATTCAAAAACGTTATTCTGGCCAGGTGCGTTGGCTTACACCTGTAATCCCAGCACTTTGGGAGGCCGAGACAGGCAGATCACCTGAGGCCAGGAGTTTGAGACCAGCCTGGCCAACACAGCGAAACCCCCCTCTACTAAAAGTACAAAAAATTAACCAGGCATAGTGGCAGGCACCTGCAATCCCAGCTACTTGGGAGGCTGAGGCGAGAATATCGCTTGAACCTGGGAGACGGAGGCTGCAGTGAGCCTAGATCGCGTCATTGTACTCCAGCCTGGGCAACAAGAGTGAAACTCTGTCTCCAAAAAAAATGTTCTGCAAGTAGATCTATAGACTTCAACAGATTGCCGAAGAAATCTGTGACTCAAGAAGAGTTAAAAACCCTTACTCCGGGTTACATAAAAAATTTACGTCACTATAAAGTTTTAGTATCAAAATGGAAAAAATATTTTCCCTTTCTATTCTGCATAGCTTTTAGCACATCAGGGCTTCATTAAAACTCATTACTAAACCTATATTTTTTCCATAGGATATCTTCATATTTCTATAAAATGTTTCTGTAAACATCATTTTATGAGAACTAGTTGAGCACCCAGTATGTGTTTGCTCTCAAGCAAAGGGCTGAGAAAAGTGCAAAAGTAATGTAATTCATGGTCTCTGCTCTCAAAGACACTGCAATCAAGCTGAGTGGACCAGGCTATGACTGACAAAACAACTGGAGAAGAAGCATGTTCAAAATACTCAGGTGCTAACAATAAGTGCAAAAGAAGAGTTCAGAAAAATTAAAAGACATGTGAATGGATGCTGGACGCTGCAAAAGCTTGCATGGAGTGCTGAGGCTTGTGCTGGGAACTAAGGAATGGATAGACTTCCAGTAGCCAGAGGAGACAGAGCCCTCAGAACAGCATAAAGACAACGGTCAGAGGTTGGATAGGAATAGTCATACTCTGTGTCCTCATCCTGCTTTATTTTTCTTCATAGCTCTTAAAACAACCAGGTATACTTGTATCTAATTATAATATGTCTCCAACTGAGATGTATGATCAGGAACTTTGTTTCCCTCACTGGTGTAGGTACAACACAAAGGAATAGTGCCAGCTGGTACGTAGTAGATGCTTGATAAACATTTGTTGAAGGAAGAAATAAGCAAGAAAAAATAAGAGAAGAAGAGACAAAGAGAAGGAGGGAAGATATGACAAAGAGAAGGAGGCGGTGAATGTGTGGGCTGAGAAAACTGAAGAGAACTGTCTGAATAGAGCAAGACGTGTGTGCTAGAGAAGGTGAAAATACATACGGAGTGGTTAATACTAACCACACCCGTAAGAGAAGTAATCTTTACAACCAGTAACCAGGAGCTAATCTAAGTAAAGGAGCTATAAGGCATTCTATGTAATGAGCTCATTTAGAGCAAAGTACCTAATTTAGGCCTGAAAACATAGCAGGGACTCAAGAAATGTCAGTTCTTACTTCTTGTTATTTACATGTTTAAGTTTTAAGGCTAGATAGCTCAAGCCTCGCTTTAATTGTAAGAAGTGTGTCATGACATTTGTTTATAAATTTTTTAAGAAATTGAGATAAAAGTCCTTTACTCTAGAAAATCTTTACCATATAGAGTCTTCATATCTGGCTTATTCTGTTATGTCGCACACTGGTTTATAGAGTTTCTTAGGTTCGTATAGTGGCTCGTGCAATACTTTATTGACTACTTATAAAGACAGTAAGACCCAGGCATAATATTTAGCTCTTCTTAAGGTGAGAAATTCAATTTGATAAAATGTTGGAGTTGTAGAACTCTTGGATATTATCCAATCCAATCCCTTAAATTAAAACAAACAAAAATTTAGGGAGACTAATGTTTATCTAACTAGAACATAACTTCCCTGGTTCACAGAACTGCTTCTTCTGCCACATTCTCTGCCAGTAGTATCTTGAGTAAACTTTCACCAGTGTTACCGCAAAGTGTCACTATTTTAGCTACTCATTTAAGTGCCTGACACGTATACTGTAAATGTCAATTAATATTTTTAAATGAAAGAAAGAAAGAAGAAAGAAGGAGGAATAAATAAATGGATTACCTTTGCCATTTGTTGGTGTAAGATCATCCATCAATTCTACTATAGAATTTGTCATCTCTCATGTAAGTGCTTGTGGTCACAGGAGCTAGCAATAACTGTTTTTCACACATTATAAGGAAGAGAATTTTATTATTTTATTTTTGAATTTAAAGAGATTAAAAGTTTAACTTTATAAATATGTATCATTAAACCCCTCTTATAATTAAGAAATAGAAGGAATAGAGTGAAAATGAATAATGGTTTGGTATAAGAGAAAGGTCATATAATTTGAACTTTAAAAGATTCAAATGTATGTATTAGCTCCATTTCTTTTACCCCATTCTCCCCAGTTTTGTTACCATAGAAAAGGCACAACGCTAACCTGTTCACTACCTGTGACACAGAATTGTTTTGAGGCTTGAATGAGCTAACGCTTGGGGAAGTATTTAAAGTGGGGCATGCCACACATATGAAGAGTAGTTGTTGTTGCTTCCCGTAATTTCCCGAGGTACCAAATAATGACCCTGGGCTATGTATAAAGATTAACCTTGTATCTGGCAGAATTACATAAATAACTGTCATTCGCTAGACTCTGGGACACTGACCTAAAGTTAATTATTTGTACTGTTCTCTAATAGGGACTTAACATCTCACCCAAGTCACCTTTCTGGTCTCTTGATGAACTATATAACGGAAATTATTAATGATGGCAAGATAAAAGAGTTTAGAATTAATTCTAAAACTTGAAAACTTGGACCAAAAGCAAAATTCCAATATGTGAGTATAAGGAGTTGCAAACCTAGGATTTTCTTCAAAGAGAGCATGCATATGTTTTATATGTTACTATTTCATCATCTCCAGTCCTGACAATGCAGGATTTGGGACTTGAAAACCAAAACAGGGCAGGATGTGTGGATAGGAATTGTCTGTAAGTGCCAACATCTTAAACTACTCTATCAGAAGAAGCCACAGCATCTCAGTCCAGCTTCTACCTTTCATCATGTCAACTCTTTACGCACGTGCGCAGGCGCCCATGCGCATGTGTGGAAATAGCTTTGGAAAAATTTACAACTGCCGGTCCTCTGATGAATGAAGGCATTAGAGTAGCAGATGTAGAGTATAGAGTTAGAAAGTGAAAAGCTAAGCAGTGCCTTGGAGCACCAGGAAATCGGACCAACATGGTGGAAGCCATCAAGGTGCCTGGGCTATGAATGTTTTAATGTGCGTAAAGCACTTTGATAGCTGCCTGGAAAAAAAAAAAAAAGGAAAGAAAGAAAGAAAACATATAATGTTTGCAAGAGTTTCCCAAAATCCTCACTGAAATAACTCCAGCAGCTAACAAATGGGGAAAGGACCAGTGGCCATCACTGGTGTGGATAGAAGCGCTAAACGTCTGTGGCAAATAGCACCGTAAGTGAGAGGTGTCAGGTGCAGTGCGGGGCCACAGCACAGACCAAGAGCGAACCCAGAGGAGGCTGCTCTTCTCTTGGGGTCATGGACCATCCAGAAACAACCCTTTCTCTACCTCAACCTTCTTTAATGTTGCCGGAGACTTTTGCCCTCGGAGCTCAGATATTCTTCAGTTCTGACCCCTCAATTTGCAACTTTGGCTTTCACAAGTAATCTGTTATACAAGATAGAAAAGCGGAATTCCTGTGCCTGCCCATAAAATGCTTGTCTTACATTTAGAGAAGACTTAACCCAAGACCCTGAAGAGAGAAAGGGTAGTTTCTTTCTGATAGTATAGGTCCCTGGGTGCAACAGAGGAAATAGAGATACAGTGCTTACCATGGCTCAGACATCATTCCTTATATAAGGGAGCAGCCGCTTCTGCTCAGAAGATCTATTAGTTTCTCCCTGTTTGCCAGTTCAAACTGTGTCCTCACTTAAGGGGAGCTTGCTTGTAAATTAGTATTATTGTTCACTTAGGGAATTAGCTAAGTAAATGTAAATGGAAATCTATCATTACTTCTAGGGAGGATATTACTCGAACCCCAAACATGAATGGTGTAGACCCTTTATGTCTAGGGAATAACACATATACATTCTTATGTAGCCATTTGACCTACATACCAAAGAAAGGACCAGTTATTAAGGAGGTGAATGTCTCAAGACCTTGCTCTATTTTAATGAAGCTGACTCTGTCTGTAATCTAACCACATTTTTCTTCCAATGCATGGATTAGAACAGAAAGATATGTAAACTAATTCTTATTTCTTAGGAAGGTAAACATTTAAAAAGAACCCAAACCATTTTCTCGGTATTTTTTGAAAAGCACATGCTGTTAAAATTCAAGACAATAACTTTAATGCTTCATCCCGTAGGTTTGTTTCTAAGCAATTAATTTGCTATCATGTTTTGGGGGAACTTGTCAAGTTCTAATTTTTTCTTCTTTCTCCCATATCTGCAAAGTATGCATACATTTGAATTATGACTTTCCTACAGGAACTAACAGCTGTATGTGCAAATCATGCATATAAATCAATTACCAAGGCCTATGTACTATAAATGCACCCATTAATTAAGCAATGTCAGATGCTATGAACCATGAAGTTCATTACATCTTTAGCATTCAAAACCAAGGATTATTTGAAGAAGAAATACTAAGTTTACCTAATAGCTAATGAAATTAAGCCAGGTTGTTGCCAACATTCTTATTTTATGCCTAATTCAGTGTTTAAATGTTTATGAATAAAACACTAACTGCTGAAAGCAGATATGTTGAAATGTAATTACTGGTAAGTTATAACGCACTTGAGAACTCATTATACCAGACTTGGGAGTTTTAAGATCACCAGTGTAACACACTCTCCAAAAACACAGAGTTTTTATGGGCTAAAAGCTGGAAAGACATAAATGCTGTTGAATTTGTCCTGGCTGAGTGGAAATTTTGATGATCGTGGCGGTATGATTTATGAGTATAACATTTTCCAGTCATTACGTGGTTGCATTTCAGCATTGTGACATGATTTGCATATGTGAATATCCCAGCAAATTAGCTTCTGATGACTGCTGCATCTGCCTGGATAAAGAAGCCCTTATCTTAAAACCAATGCAGCTGCTACTACTACAAAAAAAAAAAAAAAAAAAAAAAAAAAAAACCCTGCTTGGAACAGAAATGTTCAGTCCTGCTTCCCTTTGAAATCTATAGTCAGTGACTTGACACACATGGGTTCAATTTCAGGGATAAATACATGCTTGAAATGACTAGGTTTACACATCTGTAGACATTTTAACATCCCTTAAGTTGTCTGCCTCACAAAGACTTCCTGGATGGTTCAGAGAAGCCTGACACCTTTTCCCATACCCCTTTGTCTGGGCTTGGAAATCCCATGGCTCTCTTGCGGTCTGCCCCCAATAAATTGCTTCTCCTAGCCTCCTATATATAAACCATACTTACTTGCGACCTAAAGTATCCTAACTTGTGTTAACATATCCTTGCGCGTGTGTTTTCTATGGGTCTACACGTGTGATACCTGTATTCCTAGCCGCTACTCTATCTCTAAGAACTGTTTACCTCTGTGAGTTAAATAAAATGCTGTTCCTCAATTACAGAATCGTGGAAAGTAAAATATTTTATTTCACACATAAGTTTGAGTTTTCTAAGTCTTGCATTTCACAAATGCAATCAGATTGTTTTACACTGAAATCATTTCAATCATCCAGAAGAAGCTAAGGACACAAACAATTTTGGGAAATAAAGTATATCGAAAAGTGATTTGGTAAGTTTTTCTTCCCTGTTTTATTGGTTAAGTGTGGCTTTCTTTGGGCTGTAAATACCTTACTATATCTTCTCCAGCTTGATACCATTATGCGTATTGCTTATATTTTCCAGACAGAAGCTTCACCCTTTCCTTCCTTATTTTCTTTCTCCAAGAATATATTTTAAGTAATTTTGGTTTTTTCATTTTTAACATTGTTTATAAATGTTTGCTCGCTCTTGGCTTTACCAATTTTGCTTTAATTCTTAGAAGCTTGCATCATACTGTTGTTTCATCACTCTTGGTATAGTATCTCTCTATTTTCTAGAAACGTCCTTTAACATCTGAACTTATCACAGAATCTTGGTATGTACGTAGAATGATTTTAACAGAGTCTCCAATTTTATGTCATGAGATGTACTTCAAACTGTAGAAATATTAGTCGATTTAAAGTGTCCCACTATTTTTGAGTTTCATCCTTTTCGGGGTTTCTGCCAACAGAATTATATTTAATTTTAATCTGAGAATTTTAAAATCTACTTTCAAAACATTGGGTCACATGTTGACTCAACCCATCATTAAACTCATTTATTTATTTATTTTTTTAACTTTGAGGTGGAGTCTTGCTCTGTGCCAGGCTGGAGTGCAGTGGTGTGATCTCGGCTCACTGCAACCTCCACCTCCTGGGTTCAAGTGATTCTACTGCCTCAACCTCCCGAGTAGCTGGGACTACAGGTGCATGCCACCACGCCCAGCTAATTTTTGTGTTCTTAGTAGAGACGGGGTTTCACCATGTTGGCCAGGATGGCCTCGATCTCTTGACCTCTTGATCCACTGACCTCGGCCTCCCAAAGTGCTGGGATTACAGGCATGATCCACCGCGCCCAGCCATTTATTCTTAATTCCAGAAGAAATTGGGGAGCATGTTGACTCAACCCGTCATTAAACTCATTTATTCTTAATTCCAGAGAATAATCACGTTTTCCCCGTGATTTTCATTTCCTCTGTGTCACTCCCCAGTCTTTTTTTCATGGAAGAAATTCAAACAAGCCACAGCTGTTGTATTCTTTCTACATTTATAAACAATCAATATACAGTAAAGGCAATTGAGAATTTATTAGATGCTCACAGTCTTACAATTCTTGAAGTTGGGTTGAAGTGTATCAGCATATCTTTAGGCCCATTTGGTAATTAGAAAGCAGATTCCAGATCCTCTTTCTGCCTGCATGATTAATCTTGATCTTCACAGTGTCATCAGTTCTTTTCTCCCATTTTGTGTCATCCTAATCACCTTAGGCTCCATTCACCTGAATGCTGAGCCTGTGACAAGTCTGGCATGTAATCCCTGTAAGCAGGCATGTCAAACAGGGGAATGAAAGACAAGGTAGGGAAAACCACTAGAGGGATGCATTAACAATGTGACTATGGCTGGTGTTTAATCCTGCAAGGACCTACTGAAGAGGCTTAAAATGTGCCTCAGAACTGTCTGCCTGGAGATGAAAGAAGGACACATTTATCTATCATGCTTCTTCTTTTTTTCAAGGGATGCTCCCAGATAGTAACTTTCTAAACCTCTAGGATTCACTTGCATGACTGCCTAGCTAGTTCCTATGGAGGTCCCTTACCATGGTACAAAGACGACCCAAGGAGGGGACCCAGGAAGTGATACGTGGTGCTGGTGGGTGGTGAGGCCCTATCTCATTGCCCCTGCGCAAAGTTGGTTGAAGCCTATCTGGAACTGGTCCTGTCCACTGTAGCTGGGGTAAAAGCTAAAGCTAAGGAGATACTGAAATTGTGTTTGAAAGCTATCGGATATAGTCTATATCTTGTTCACTGAGATCAACTCATACCATACAGTGAGTCCAATCAATCACAGACTCATTTTTTAAGGGTAGGTCTGCTATAATTTCTGCAATGTCTTAGTACAAACAGCTATAGTCCTGGCTGCTGCAGCTGGTCTTAACACCATCATACTTAACCATCTCCCTCTTCCCTGATTCCTTCGTGTTTCCCCTCATGATTGGTCAGCATTTTAATCTAAGTGTGAAGCAGGTGTACAGGTTACCAACTTGTTTGAGTCTTATGGAGAACACCCCCACACACAAATTACATGAAGCACATTTATTATTTAGAGGTAGGCAGCAAGGAACGATAGAAGCCTAATATTCCTTGTGAGCTGATGCCCCACAGCTCAGGAAAGCTGCCCAGGGAGGATGGAGTCTTATTTACAAAGTGTCCGAGGGCTTCCAGAAAGCAGCCTGTCCAGGGACTTATAGCCCAGGGGTCGTAGGGATTGCTGGGCTAATGCAGTGAAAGACATCTTGTTTCTAGGGTAGGCGGGGGAGAAAGGTGAACAGAGCCCAGGTTGTTCTGGCCAGTCCTATACTATCTTAGGATATTGCATTTCCAGCACATTCCACAGTTAATTTTACGCCTGTAATCCCAGCACTTTGGGAGGCCGAGCAGGTGAATTGAGATCAGGAGTTCGAGACCAGCCTGGCCAACGTGGCGAAACCTTATCTCTACTAAAAATACAAATATTGGCTGGGAGTGGTGGCATGTGCCTGTACTCCCAGCTACTTGGGTGGCTGAGGCAAAGGATAACTTAAACCCAGGAGGCAGAGGTTGCAGTGAGCCAAGATTGCCCCACTGCAATCCAGCCTGGGCAACACAGTAAGATTCCATCTCAAAAAAAAAAAAAAAAAGGAGAGAATTTGGTTGGTCAAAGACCACCTGTAGAACTATTCTGCACTAAGTTTCTTCCTAGAGAGACGACCCAGACATTCATTAGTTAGGGCCTATGCCCTGATAAATTTGTTCCCTCCCTAAAATCCAGATCCTCTCACCTAATAAAGCCTGAGGTTGTGAAGACGGAAAGAAATTCTAAAAAGGAGTTATTGAAAGTGATGGTGAGAGGGCTTTCTGCCACATAGTCCCTCCTGGCTTCTTTTTTCCCCAGGATTCCAAAATAGTTAAGAAAAAAATAGGCAATGCTACAGTCTTTTAAATTATAATTGATCTCATATGTTTTAAGAGACAGAGCTACCATATAACCCAGTGTTTCAACTTCTACCTATATCTATTTTACAATCCACGAATCTGCAATCTTAGTATTTGTGATGCTGAATATGCCAGGAGTTCACAGCACTCACTTAACACTAGCAGAAGAGTTATTATTCACATCTGATTGATGGGTCACTCAACTCCGAAATCTATACTAAGGGTCTGCTTTCTGGGAACAATTCAAATATCAATTTTTTTTAGCCTGAGTTTTCCCAAACAATGAAGGCACAGGTAGCTGTAGGCAATGGGATTCCTGGGAGCAAGCACGTAGAGCAGGAGAAATAAAAGGGAATGAATGAAAACAAACACAAGATTAAATGGGCCTGGTGGTACAGGCCTGCAGTCCCAGCTACTCGGGGCGCTGAACTGGGAGGATGGCTTGAGCCCCAGGAATTCGAGGCTGCAATGAGCTGTGATCATGCCACCACACTCTAGCATGGGCAACAGAGCAAGACCCTGTCTCAAAAAAAGAAAAAAAAATCACACAAAACAAAACAATGAAAGCCAACACAAGAATGTATTATCAAGTTGTCCACCATTAATGGCAACTGTGCTTCATCTACAGGAACCTTCTGAAGAGACTTATGATGTGTGTTGCAGAACTGTTCACCGGGGATCAAACTCATGTAGGAAGCATTTAACCATGGATTCTCATTAATCCCTTGGTGAAGGGTGGCTTCCAGGGCAGTGAGTTCCCCATATATTCCAGTGTAATCATTGGTGACTGTAAAGGAGTTTCATGTGGATATCCTCAGCAGTAGAATTTAAATAGTACACCATTATAGTATACTATATAAAGACATACTATACCATTTGTAGTATACTTTATATAGTATACACTATATAGTATGTACTATATAGTATACATTATATATACATACTACATATGCATACATAGTATATAGTAACATATATAGTATGTTATATTATATAATGTATAGGTATATATAATGTAATATATATTATACTATATGATATATATTATATAGTATATATCGATATATAAATATACTAAATATAATACATAGTATATATTATATTACTATATATAGTCTATATAAATACTATATAATATATACTATATATTATAATATATAGTATATATACTATAATATATACACTATATATAGTATATATACTATAATATATATACACTATATATAGTATATATACTATAATATATATACACTATATATAGTATAGTATATATACTATATATACACTATATATAGTATATATACTATAATATATATACACTATATATAGTATAGTATATATACTATATATACTATAATATATAGCATATATTATATATAGTGTGTATATAGTGTATATATACACTATATAAAGACATACTATATATATACTATATAAAGATATATACTATATATTATACTCATACTTGGTGTTCCAATAAAATTGTATGAAATATATAAAATATATAATATACTTGGTGTTCCAATACAATGATTTTCTACTACTTCTACAGAGCTCAAATGCATGGCTCTCCAACTTTGGTATACATAATAATCCTTTGAGGGAGTTTGTGAAAAGTTCCTGAGCCCCAATCTCCAAGGTTTTTTTATTAGTTCATTCGGTTTGCATTCTGAGAAGTGCTTCACATGCTTCTGATGAAGATTACTTTCAACCTCACCTTGTTTTTAGAAACACTGTCTGCGAGAATAATACAACTGGTGCCAAGCGATATCATGCTGTAATCTTCTGATCAGTCACTTGATAACTGATTTTTGCTTTTTCCCTTTCTTCCAGAGTCTTTGTATATCTAGGTTACTAGTTCCTTCTAATCTAATTGGGATACACCAACTTTCACATATAGAAGGCACAAAAATAACTTTGGAGCTTTTAAAATTCTCCCTAGATTGAGCTTACATTTTCAGCATACATCATTAGTGATATTCAGAGTCTTGAAAACCACCAAAAATAGGCAGAAAACAATAACAAGCATTTCATGAGGAAACATGCAGGAGAATTGATTGAAACAAAAAACCATTAAAAAGCGGCTAGATCCCCATATCCTCTCTCGCACCCAATCCACCCACCATCTACCCTCCACCATCTTTTCTCTCATGGCAACATGCACTGGAAATTGCTGCTGAACCATTTAATAGCAACAATTATTATTATTATTGCTAGGTTGCAAACATTCCCCACTATCTGGCCATGGCTATCAATCACTCTTCTACTTCAATCACATTCCTTCTGTATCCTCTCAAACCTCTCATGTTTTATAGAGAGACAAGTCACATATTAAAAAACAATTCTTCATTCTCAGCTTATGTTATACGTGGTCTTTGCTCTCGGGTAAAATCTTTTGTTACAACTCTTTCTTTCAAGAGCTGAAGTTTGATTACCAGAAGTATCAAGGAATGATGTTATTAGTTTCTGTTTGAGATTAAAAGAATGTCTATTTTTAAAGTAGGGTGACCAAGTAATTTATTGTCCAAACTGCAAAGGCATAGAGAGTCAAAAAGCACTATTAAAAATTGTACCAGCTGGCGCAATGGCTCACGCCTGTAATCTCAGCACTTTGGGAGGCCGAAGCTGGCAGATTGCTTGAGCTCAGGAGTTCGAGACCAGCCGGGCAACATGGTGAAACCTATCTCTACCAAAAATGCAAAAAATTAGCTGCCTGTGGTGGTGCACTCCTGTAATCTCACCTATTTGGGGGGCTGAGGTGGGAGGATCTCTTGAGCCCAGGATGTCAACACTGCAGAGAGCTGAGATTGTGCCACTACACTCCAGCCTGTGTGACAAAGTGAGACCCTGTCTCAAAAAAAAAAAAAAAATTGTACCGTCATCACAGGTATAAACTGAGATGGTTTCAGGCAAACCAGAATGCATGTTCACCTAGTGGTAAAAGAAAACAACAAATTCGAAATGAGAAAATGTGAAATTCCACTATAAACTTGTTCCATTATGTTAATGAGAAGGCATCAATTAAAAAGTTTAAATAAAGGCTAACTTTTTCAAAGTATTTTCTTTTCTATAAGTGAAAATATCAGAGAAAGGCAAGGCTGTCACCATCAGAAACATATTCTTCTAGATAAAGATACTCAAACACATGTCAAATCTTTTACCAATAATGGAGATTGGATGAGTGTTCATTGTAGTCTACAAGGGACAAATTCACTGTAAATTCTTGCATGTTGAAAATATCAGAAGAAGAAAAATTGGTGAAATAAGCTACGTTAATCCCATCACGATTCTGTCTGCTGCTAAAATCTAGAGAATTTAGAAATTTAAGATTATTTAGAATATTCACATCAAATGTTATCTCTCCAACTATTTAAACGTATTGAAGTATAAAATAATGACTCATTTTATTAAGCGGTAACAACCTCTATGGTCAAACTAAACTACTTTATTATTATTACCGAATATAGGGTTTTTTGACAATTAAATTTTATGTTTGTGTCACTAGTTGGTTGTAGTTATAGAATTAGCTTTTCCACATAACCTACTAGATATTGTAGAAAGTGTCATTGAACATCTATATTATAATATGACAAATAATTCAATTAGAAAAATAATGAGGAGAAATTTAAAAATAATTATCAACATTTTCCCCTTCCTTAAATATAATTTTAGAGGCGGAGTTTAACAGATATTTGTCACCAGTATTCTTGGTGTCAGTATTCTTACGTCAATAATCTGATATTCTGCCATATTTTGTTTTATTATTCTATTTTTCTCTTATTTCTATGTTTTGCTATAAGAAATATATTTTCTAAAGGCTTTAGTTTTCTCTTGTAAATTAAAACATTTATGCACATTTTAATTTTTTAGCAGAATAAATGATACCTTTGTTTAGGATAAAATACCCAGAATTCTTTTACATCTTTACCCTCATGAAACATGCAACTTTGTTTTCTTTCTAAGAATGATAATGAAAGACAATATTTATTTTCTAGGAAATGTGTTTATGTTTATGATACACCAGTATACCCTCAAAATTTGGCAATCTGCTTTAAATACATACCTATATAACCCCAACGTATGCCTGGATATATACATATATCCTTGAGTTATGAACTAAAACACAGACAAGATGTACACCTGCCACCGTCTTTAATTCCAGCTCCTCAGAGGCAATCACTTTTATTCAACTCTTCCAGTTAATATGCTTATAATTCTGTTACTTGATTATTCAGTTTTAGCTATAATCACAATGAGACACCATCTCACACCAGTTAGAATGGTGATCATTAAAAAGTCAGGAAACAACAGGTGCTGGAGAGGATGTGGAGAAATAGGAACACTTTTACACTGTTGGTGGGACTGTAAACTAGTTCAACCATTGTGGAAGACAGTGTGGCGATTCCTCAAGGATCTAGAACTAGAAATGCCGTTTGACCCAGTGATCGCATTACTGGATATATACCCAAATGATTATAAATCATGCTACTATAAAGACAGATGCTCACGTATGTTTATTGTGATGCTATTCACAATAGCAAAGACTTGGAACCAACCCAAATGTCCATCAATGATAAACTGGATTAAGAAAATGTGGCACATATACACCATGGAATACTATGCAGCCATAAAAAAGGATGAGTTCATGTCCTTTGTAGGGACATGGATGAAGCTGGAAACCATAATTCTGAGCAAACTATCACAAGGACAGAAAACCAAATACCGCACGTTCTCACTCACAGATGGGAATTGAACAATGAGAACACTTGGACACAGGGCAGGGAACATCACACACTGGGGCCTGTCATGGGGTGGGGGGATGGGGGAGGGATGGCATTAGGAGAAATACCTAATATAAATGATGAGTTAATGGGTGCAGCACACCAACATAGCACATGTATACCTATTTAACAAACCTGCACATTGTGCACATGTACCCTAGAACTTAAAAGTATATATAAAAAAAAGGTTTTAGCTATTATCTATTATTTCTTTTTATTTAAAAAAAGATCAGGCTTTTTACGGCCATACACATACAAATACATACATTTTCCCTCTCTCCTCTGACTCTTAAAGCAATTGAAATATACATTTTTGTATATGTTGTTAGGTCAGTATTTATCACTTACATTAGTATAACATTGTACATATTATACATAGTACAGTGTCCTGCAGTGAATCAATATATTATAATTACCTTTTTGTGTAAAACTTTTTCATTTCAGAGGAGGCAATATGGTCTTTTCCTTTATATTCCTCTATGTCTCTACCACTTATCCATCTTTAGTTACTCTTTGAGTAACTAAATCTCATTCAGGTACATTTAAAGATTGGAAGTTTTTTCAGTGTTACTTTTTAAAAATTGGGTGTTTCTCATTGGAATCTCCTTACTTCAGTTCACCTCTGGATTGACTGCTCTCCAAGCCTGTGTTATTTTCATTGGGGTTTCTTTTTCACCTCTCTGTTAGATCCTATCTATGGTATTTTCATGTTTCCTAACATTTCTTTAATCTGTTCATCCCTTTTTCCCTTTTCCTGTAATTTCTGAGATAATCACTTAATTTTGTCTTTCACTTTACCACTTCAGATTTCAGCAGTATTCAAAGTGTTGTTTATTGTCTCCATTATAAATATTTAAATTGGGGCCAGGCACGGTGGCTCAAACCTGTAATCCCAGCACTTTGGAAGGCCGAGGTGGGTGCATCACTTGAGGTCAGGAGTTCAAGACCAGCCTGGCCAATATGGTGAAACTCCATCTCTACTAAAAATACAAAAATTAACCAGGCATGGTGGCGGGCACCTGTAATCACAGCTACTGAGGAGGCTGAGGCAGGAGAATCGCTTGAACCTGGAGGCGGAGGTTGCAGTGAGCCGAGATAAGACCCTGTCTCAAAAAAAAAAAAAGAAAAATTTAAATTGTAAATGATGTTTACACCTTAAGTTTTTCGATCTTTATGGTTGCCTGTTTTTGTATTATAGAAGTAATATATTGATTTTCTTCTTTTCTGGCAATAACTGTTTCTTAGAAATCAATTCCTTTTATTCATCAGCTGAAGTCCTCTTCATTAGGACTGTAGTGCCTCCCAAATGCTTGGTGCTGTTTCTCATATTATCACGCATATGTAGAAAGACCTGTGTTATGTACTTCATGGGAGATAAAATGGGCTATCTCAGAGTTAGAGAATCTCTGCTCTAACCTTCTAGGAACATTTTAAATGACACTAAACCAATGTTTCCCTATAGCAGACCTGGGCCTACTAACACATTCAGGAACCGCTGGGAGTGGCAGGAGCCATAGTCATTTGCAGCCTAGGAAGCTGCAGTTATGCAAGTGTCTTTGTCATATGTGACAAGGCAGCCAGAAGCTACCCAGGAGAAGGCCTGTGTTCCTTGCATGACTCAACCTTTCCCTCTTATGAGACAGCTGTAGTAACGACTCCATTGCCCATTAGCATGGCTTTCCGTCCAGAGTGACGCTGAGATCTTTGGCATGGCTGTGCCGCTGTTGTCTTCTGCACATCTATGAGGTAGAGAAGGAAGCTAAACATGGTCCAGAACCATTTTTACCTTCAGCTCTGTGAGTTAAAGGACTTCCTAGTCCTTTCCTCCTTGCCTCACCCCATTATATTTTTACAGGAATTCCTCTAAGTTGTCAGCATGGGCTGTTACCTTAGCAGGTATAAGTGCTGACATAAGCCTTTTTCCACATTTCTTTTTTATTCTTTTTTTTTTTTTTTTTTTGAGATGGAGTCTTGCTCTGTTGCCCAGGCTGGAGTGCAGTGGTGCAATCTCGGCTCACTGCAACCTCTGCCCCCCAGGTTCAAGCAATTCCCCTGCCTCAGCCTCCTGAGTAGCTGGGATTACAGGCACACGCCACAATATCTGGATAATTTTTTTGTATTTTTAGCAGAGACGGGATTTCACCATGTTGGCCAGGCTGGTCTTGAACTCCTGACCTCAAGTGATCTACCTGCTATGGCCTCCCAAAGTGCTGGGATTACAGATGTGAGTCACCGCGCCCGGCTTTCCCACATTTCTACCTCCAAATTATTTTCACAGAGAGCTGCAAGAAGGATGATTTAGAGATGTGGACTTATTGGTGCCCATTCCTAATGGAAACCTAAAATAATTTCTATGGCAAGTATTCAGCTTAAAGTGGGTTTGAGTAGTGAGCAGATAAATTCACGGGAAGAGGGATAAGCATCAACATTTTAAACTGGCTGAGATTACTGTGTGATTTTTAAGGAAAGTATTCCTGTTCACTTTGGTGAATAAGGAAGACTAAAATTACAAAGTGTGGGTGGTTATCAACATGAGGACGCACTTTTGTTGAGCCAAAATAGCTCCGTCTATTGAAGACTTCTATCCACAGAGCCAAAAGTCAGTGACAAGGCAATGAAAACTTTAGAGAGGCTTAACTTGTTTTTGAAGAGTTTGCAATAAAGGAGATAAAGAGAATTGTAGTAATTAACGGAATCATTAAAATGATCCAAAACATGTAAGTTATTTTAGCAGTTTGCAGCATAAACTTTCAATTGTCATCCCATAAACTATTTTCTAAAGGTTGAAGAAAGGATTACAGCATTGCCATTGGTAGGTTATGTTTTCAATTCATCCAGAAAGAACTATATTGAGAATTGCTCTAAATCAACATTTGGCAAGAAATGTGGCCCATTAATCATAACAGGCTCCAAATGGTTTTGATGGCAAAACATTTGAGATGTTTAATCAGGTTACTTACTTGAGGAAGAATTATTAAGTTCCTGACTGTTAGTCGAGTACCTACAGTCTGTTGTAGTCGTTAATGGTTCTGGTGCTATAAATCTAAGAGAATTAGACTTAACCATCACCTGGAAACTGCTTCTGAGAACTTCCTTACTAAAGTCATACCATGGAAAATTATGACCCAAATCCCCCACCATTACCATTTCTAACAGTCAAGCTCAGAATCTTTAGAAACTTTTAATAGGTTTTGAATTTCAATATGATAATATTATTCATTGTCAACTGAGCCATGCCAAGCTTACTTTTTGCAATTTAGCAGTAGGTAACCATACATGAATTGGAAGATTGCTATCCATAATTACCCTAAACGCTCAATCTCTTCTTAAGTAAGACATGCATTCTATTTTGTAGTCAACTCATTTTACTCAGTATTTCAGAGAAGATTTCCTTCACTATCTTGCTTAGGATTTAATTTGGGGTAAATAAATTTTTTTATGAAATATCAAAAAATGTCCTTGAAAAAATATTAAGGGAAAACACTACTTAAAATGCTAACATAAACCATTTATCATTAAAATATACATTCTCAATAAATGTTTGAACTAAAAATTATGTTTATTTTTCATAAGCAAGAAATTTATATACTTCCCCTGGAAGAATACCATCATTAATCCGACAGAGGTTTGCAACCAGTGATTTAGACCACCATAGGTACTGAGCTAAATTTCTGTTAGAAGAGGGATTGAACGGAGTGGGGTGGTCCAGGTATCAGCAGCAGTCAGTCACTTGTGAGAGAAGCAGTGAGTGTCCTGATGCCAACTCAGCTTGTGCTGTGAGTCTTGGCTGCCCATATTAGTTTGCTGGGGCTGTCATAACAAAATGCCACCAACTGAGTGGCATAAGCAGCAGAAATTATCTCACAATTTTGGAGTCCAGGAGTCCAGGATGAAGATGTTGACAGTAGGCTTCTTCTGTCATCAGAGGGCCACGAGAGAATCTGTCATCCTTTTCTCATAGCCTCTGGCAGTTTGCTGCAATGCTTGGCATTCCTTGGCTTGTAGAAACTCCGCTTTCAGGTTCACAGGGTGTTCTCCCTGCACGCGTGTCTCTGAATTTTCCTCTTTTTATAAGGACACCAGTCCTCTTAGAGTAAGAGCCTTTCCTACTACACTGTAACCCATTTTAACAAGTTACATCTGCAATGACCCTATTTCCAAAGAGTCATATTCTGAGGTACTAAGGGTTAGGACTTCCACATATAAATTTTGGTGGGACACAATTCAACTCATAATACTGCCCCCCAAGTTCATCCTGTGAACTTGGGCAGGTCACTTCATTCTAAGTCTCAGCTTCCTTGTTGGTAAATATAGTAAAGCTAATAGCACCAATGTCATTGGCATATTTAAGGATTTAGCTAGGCCATACACACACAAGGTAACTAAGTATATCTCAGCCATTACTAATGGTAGTAGCACAATATATTAGCTCTATAATTTGATTTCCATAAGGTTTCACATTATATTTAATCTTACTTTAATTTCTTATCTCTGTGGGCAAATGTATACAAACTTTAAAAATAAGAAAATACTGCTATTCAAGTATACAGAAAAAACAATAATGAGTAATTGTTCATGGCTATTGCCTTTTTAAAAAGCATTCTGGGCCAGGCACAGTGGCTCGAACCTGTAATCTTAGCAATTTGGGAGGCGAGGTGGGCAGATTACGAGGTTAGGAGATCAAGACCACCCTGGCCAACATGGTGAAACCCCGTCTCTACTAAAATACAAAAAATTAGGTGGGCATGGTGGCACGCGCCTGTAGCCCCAGCTACTCTGGAGGCTGAGACAGGGGAATCGCTTGAACCTGAGAGGCGGAGATTGCAGTGAGCCAAGATCATGCCACTGCACTCAAGCCTGGCAACAGAGTGAGGCTCCATCACTGCCCCCACCAAAAAAATAGCATTCTGGATATGCCTCTACATCTTTAGGTAGTGATACAGGTGATTCAGCCATAACATTTCATCTGTGATATACATTGAAAACTCATAATTACTTAAAGTGACAGAGTATTCACAGATATATATTTTCCATTGCATATTTAACTGGAAGAAATGTTGTACACAGTAAATATTAAAGTTAAAAACAGGATTAAATAGACTGGAGTTTACCCTGTTAAAAGCTATATACTTTTTATATTTTTAAACACGTTAAATATTTTGTGATATTTCCTGAAAATACCATGCCAACAAGAGTACAGTTATTTAACAGAAATAGTTATCCTACCATGACATGAGAGGCCTCATTAGTTTTTTTTTTATAATTAGCTATAACCGCATCAAAAATTATTAGCTATAATGAAACAAAGGGCCTCTGGAAAGTGAACCCACATGAATACTTATTGTGAGTAAATTAAATTGAAAAAGCCTTGATGAAGCAGTGTACACCTAATTTCACATAAAAAATGCTGATTTCTCCCTGAAGAACAACTACAGATTCCATTAAAATATGAATATTTCATATAAATATCAATTAATCAAAAATGTATTTATGCGGTGTCCCTGACTGGAATAAAAAGCATGTAAGACCAGGCACCGTGGCCCACGTCTGTAATCCCACCACATTGGGAGGCCCAGGTGAGCAGATCATTTGAGCCCAGGAGTTCAAAACAAGCCTGGACAACATGGTGAAACCTCATCTCTGTTAAAAATACAAAAAATTAGCCAGGCATAGTGGTGCATGCCTGTGGTCCCAGCTACCCAGGAGGCTGAGGTGAGGGGATTGCTTGAGCCCAGGAGTTTGAGGTTGCAATGAGCCCTTACCAACCTGGGCAACAGAAAGAGACCCTGTCTCAAAAAAAAAAAAAAACAAAAAAAAAACCACACACACACACACACATAAAATTTCATATATTAAAAAACCAGGTGAAAAGACAGTGATGCCATACCTCAAAACAACAATCAAATTGGTAAACCTAAGTTAAACAGGTTCATCATATAAAATATGACCTTTTTGGAGAATTCTCTTTTTAAAGTCTTAGAAATATTTTCTTCATATTATAATTGGATACATATATTCTAAAACATTTGAGAAATTGTTAAGCTTCATGTTTTGAAAGGGGGCTTTGGCTAAGAAGCATGGAATGGAAAGGAAAGAGGGAAGTAGAAAAAGAAATGCATGAAGTGATAGTAACAGAAGCACATGCTTCCCAGCGTGCATGCCAATAGGCTGGAGGAGTGCCTTCTTAATAAGCATTCCAAGCACACTTTGGCATATGTGTTTCGACAATAGCATCCCTGGGGATGGGTCTTCAGGGAAGTTTCCAAATACATTTCAGACCTAATTTTCATTATGCATTCACAAGATACCCTGCATGGTGTTGAGATACATGCAAGCAGTGAGAAGGATTTGTGTAATATAAGTATTTGATGGATCTGCCCTCCCTAGGTCCCTAAGCCAAGCCCTCTAGTAATAGTGGCCACAGCTCTGCAGTGATCCCCTGCCTCACAGTGACAGCGTGCTATCCCCTCTACTAGCTACAGGTAGTGCATTCTTCTCTACTTCTGCTTGCAAGGTAAACCGAGTAACTCTCCAAGATCAAAAAGTATTTAATTTAAAATCTGCTTACTTGAAACTGTGCCTAAAGTATGGTCAGCACTATAAGAATTATTGAGTAAATTTGAGCCTACTCAAAACCAATCTGGACTTGGTCATAGTGTGAATGAAGGGCAGAAAGCCAAAAGACATGGGAAGAGAACTCTGCATTATTTCATCGATCTTGATATAGTCTTATCCAATACCAAATTTACCAGGTCATTACACTAGATTGTTTTCTGTTTTGCTATGTCCATGAAATCAGCACCAAAGAAAACATTTCTATGTATGCCTCACTGATCAGTTGGTCAACTGACAGCCATTAGAATTTAGGTGCATTAATTTATAACTGCTATTCAACAGATATGTATTGCATTTTTTTCACATATCTTGACTCCTCAAATGATTCTAACTACTTGAAAGTAGAAATCCTGCCTTACACATATTTGTAATTTCACATTGCAATTCTTGGAATGTAGTATGTTGCTTATAACTATTTAAATGATGGACCAAAATACGTATAGTCAGGGTATTAGTTGATGTGACCCATGGGGTCCAATCAGTTTTAGAGCAGAATTGTTAAATGAAGTTAGTGTAATAAAGATTAAGCCTGTTCAGCATTTCTCATCATTTCACACTAGGAGTGCATTTGAAACAATTCTTCTAAATTATTTTTCTTCAAAGACATCAAGATTAACATAAGTGGAAACAGTGACAAGCTAACAGCCCCCGATGGGCAGCAAAGTGACTGTCACTTTGCCAAGCCTTTTTACTAACATAGAAGGTGTTTTCTTTTACCATCATGAAAAGCGTGGCTTTCCTGTTAAGCTTGATGTGTACCACTGGAAAAAAAAAGAAACCTGGCCTGAGATGTTAGAATAAAGTCTTTACTGCTCATTTGCCAGCATTCCTTGCCTCATTTAAGGGGGACCTATTGAAAAAGAAACTGAACTGAAATGATTTTCAGATGTGAATGGATTTCCAGGTAGTCAGTCACCTGGTCTAGGGACCAGTCACACTTCCTTGGCAATCTTTTTAAGGCACCATGCTTCAATGATCATGGTCTTCCAGGTCATCCTACAGCATTTGCCTTTGTTCGGGTCAATCGAATCAGTCATATTAACTCCTTGCAATGGCATAGGTACTAAATGAATCTTCTCTTGAAGGAGAAATGTTATCTGTGTGCTATGAAAGGAAATGTTAGATTAATGGAATCCCAGGGTTAGAAAGGAACTCAAGGGTCATTTATTTTTAGTTGACATTTCTTTTGTGGAGCCCCGTCCCCTACATAATATTTATATTGGCCAAGTCTGCATGAGGTATGGATTAGAACACTTTTAATGATATCATTTATGTTTCTGTGTAGAAAAGAGAAGTATTTTTCAGCTCTCATGGTCTATTGGTATTTTCCATGCCATAGTCCATGACATATGTACCTTGATTTAAATTCAGCCCTGAAACCTTGGAAGAGGGCCTAAATGGAGCCAAGAAGGTGAGAGGCTTTGCTCCCTGCAAGGCTCTGAGCATAGCACATTTTCTAATGGTGTGGAAGCTCTTGATTAAGAAGGAGAAACTGATGCCAATTCTGTCTTATCCTCTGGTGTGACTCGAGCAGTTCAAAGAAGGCTACCATGACCTTGGAATCTCTGTCCCATTGAAACTGCAAGGCTCAAAATTCCACCATTAGAGAACTTTTCATTTTGTCAAACTGTAGCCTTTCATGTTTTTCTTTATAAAACATAATCACTATAGAAAGGTGTAATATATAAAGTTGCTAAAATGTAACTTTTTAATAAGATTTTTCTACTCAGATATTTCTACCGAAATAAATGGCCCTAGCAATATGTAAACAATCAGAACAAAATAAACTAAAGGAGAGAAGAGGAATCTGGGGAGAGAAGGTGTCTGAAACACAGTCACTAGTGAATGGAAACTTCAGCACTGCAAGGCCAGCCTGGTCTCCAATATCCACTGTGAGCTGCCTGACAGCCTTGAGCAAGTCCTGCTCCTGCACTCTGGTTGTTATAAACCAAGGGCCCAGATCATGTTGGACCCAGCAGCTGCTGCTTAATTGCTTAATTGTTTTTACCATCCTGTGGAACAAAATGACATAATAGCTTCAGACAATAGTAAGTGGAATGTGTAATTCCTGCTGATCACAGAGTCTCAGACATTGGTGGGACCTAGACCTGGCCTGTGTCTTTTGCTGGACTTCAATCTCTACAGTCTCAGAGAGTAAGTTTTCATAAAGCACCTGCCATGTGCCAGGCACCAGGTGGAGCTGGGGTCAGATTCCTGAAAAACAGAAGAGGATGCTGCTCTCATGAGGCTTAGAGCCTACAGAAGGAGAGGGGTGTTCAGTTAGACATAGACAGCCCATCCCAAGGATCCCCTTCCCCATTCTTCCACCACCAAGAATGAGGAGGGCAACCTGGGAGAAGGACAGGAGATCAAAGAGACTACTGCAGGTGGAAGGAATGGAATGTCAGGGCCTGAGGCAGGAAAGGCAAAGATGTTCTTGAAAAAATTGTAAGAACCACAGAGGACTAGAGCAGAGGGAGTCACTGGCAATAGCATGAGGAATGAAGCTGGAGACCTAGATCATGGTGTGCTTTGTGTAGGAGGGATTTGAGATCTTAGCTTAAATGTAATATCACGGCTGTTGAATGATGTTTAGCTGGCTGGTGTCAAGATTAGAATTCTTTTCTTTTTTTTTTTTAAGTGTCATTCTGGAGGCAAGTTAGAAACTGAATTGAGTAGGGCAAGAGGAGAGGCAGAAAAGGAGAGAAGAAATTGGATTCATCACCAAGGAGGATATTAATGGCCTAAACTGAGGAATCGACATTAGTAATAAAATGAAACTCATTTGAACATTTGAAACATTGACATGGTTTATAGTGCAGAGAAGAAGAAATGCTGTAAGGATGAAGCCAAAGACTGAATAAATGGATAGAGGGTAGAACCATATACTTAGCAGGGAAGGGGAAAGGCAGCTTTGGAGCAGGAGGTCAGAACCCATGAATTACAATGAGGTATTCATTCAAGAGGATGTACTTTGTGAACATTTGGCTTTAAAAGATCTGGGGTTAAAAGAATGATCTGGGCCCCAAGTAAACATTTGAGAGAAGGTACATGGATGGCATTTGAAGTAACTGGGAAGGACAAGGTCCCTTAGGGAGTTTGCATAGAGCAGCAAAAGGAGAGTCCACCAAACCAAGTCTCGTGAACTTTGACATTTAATGACTGAGTTGACATGGGAAAGAAACAGCAGAGGGGTACAGAGAAAAAAGAAGAATCTTGAATACCTGATGTTAAAGTAATTTAGAAGCCAATGTGTCTGCAAATGGTGGATGGTCATCTGTTCAGAATGCTGTGGTGAGATTAAATTGAAGACTAAGGTGTTTATCGGATTTAGTGACATGGAAGTCACTGGTGAATTTAGCAAGGTATGGCTCAATAGCAGCTATATGAAAATTTCAAACTCTAAAGGAATACTGGAGATTGTTTTATCTTCAGACTCTTTTGATGAATGTAGAACCAGGTTCAGATCATTCAAGTAAATTCTTGCAAGGTCACAGCCATTTAATAACAGAGCTTGGGCCAAGATCCTCTCCCACAGCTATTTCCATCAGACAAAGGTCACTGATACTTTGTTATCCTGAGATATCAACTTGAATTTTTAATTAAAATAGGCCTACCCATTTCTTAAAACAACAATAGGGTTCAATTCTTTAGAACAATAAAACTTTTGCTCACTCCAAATATTGATGGGAGTTAGTAAACTGAGGAGCTTCAATGCGAAGACTCCAGAAACGTTCTGTGTCAAAGTCTCCACCAATGAAAATCAGAGATGTCCAGTCCAGGAACTGTAGTGTGAGGCACACAGAAGACATCTTTTATTTTGAGATTTTAAAAAAGCGACCAAATGGCTTGGTTAAAATTACAAACATATCGTAAAACGTCATGTCAAGACAAAACAGAAACAAAAAACTCCAAACATCATCTTACAGTGGCATACCAGAAAGTATTTGAAAACGGTTACATGCCATTACTTTTTCACTTTGGTAAGATGAAAACAACATGATTTTTTTTTTTCATGTGTTAACAATGTACTCTCTCAGGCTAAGACCTTGTATTCCAAGTTGAAGCCTAGGGCAACATTTTTACAGCTGAATTATAAATCCCTGAAAATAGAGATTTATAATGGAAATTCTAGAAAACCATATCTAATAGATCTATACTACCTGGAGCCCCTTTAATGAAAGGAGCTCTGAAATTTTCTTCTGCATACCTTTGGTAGTAAGATTAAATGATAAAAAATTCAGATGAACAATTTAAGATATAACCCTTTTTTGATACCAGTATATGTTATAGGACTCATTCACATTGAAAACAAAAAGAAAAGAATCTGTTACAACTGGGTAGAAGAATGTAAGATATAAAAAATTCTTTGGGGAAATGATGGGTTATTAAGGTATGGACTATAATATCATCGCCAATCTATAAAACTTTTACAACCTAGTCTTATTTGCACAGAGATTACATCCCCAAAGCTCAGTGCCAAAGACACATGTTAATAAGCTCACAACTTTTAATTAAGCAATATGTAAAAGTAGATTCCCATTAAGCTGTGATTTGTGGGCTAGTTCATTACAGTGGGCCCCAACCACCAGACACATATTCAATACAAATCAAGCAGTCTGCATATTATCCAGCTTAATGTGAACCTACCAGTGATGTTTTATTGCCAGTTCAGAAGAACAGTTCATAGAAGGTATTTTTCCCCAAAAGACTAGGACAGAGATCAAAACCTAATGAACCCATGGTGCTTGCTTAATGAAATGACTCATCTGCATTGTTTATTTGCATAACACAATAATTACTCATACAGTTAATTATCATACATCTGATTATCTGACCTGAGGGGTTAGAGTTTTTATTGTCATAAACCCATAGAGGGCAGCCCTGGAAGTTGTTTCGGGTAGTTGGGGCAAGATTAAATTCTCTTTTATTTCAGTTTGGTTGAGAAGGAAAGTTACAGAATTAATGGTCTGGGGAGAACTGGCTAGGTGAAAAGAAAATGAGGCTGCATCTTTCCTCCATAAGGTAAATTCTGCAGGAATTAGGGTGTTAATTCTAAAAAATAGAACCATGGAATAGTGGGGAAAGAATATGACTTCATTTCATGAGGGAAAACATTTTCAGTGTAGATAAATGGCCAAGATGGATGAAAAGTTGATATATTTGACTATATAGACAACTAAAAAGTCTCTACATAAAATGCAATCATCATGCCTTCAAAAAATTTGACATAATATCCTGAGTAAAAATATTTGAATTAATCAATATTTAATCAATAACCCAATGTATTCTTTGAATAAATATTTATTCAACAATCATTGTGTGCTGGGCATTTTTTTAATGTATATTATCATATGTATTTATACAGACAGCTTTTTCCAAAACATTAAATTCTTATATTTTGCTTATGCTTTGTTTTAGGCTTTCTATTCAGTTCAACTGGTTTGTCTACTTATGTCTGTGCCCATAAAGTATTTTAATAATTAATGCAGTTTTTAAATACATTTAAAATTTTGTTTGCAAAGTGCTTCTTCACTCTTTCTCTTTCATTTATTATTTATGTACTATATGGTTATTGTAAAAGTATTAAAAGATGTAGATACACAGAAAAGAAAATCACCTTAAATACCAACAGATAACCTGAGTTAACACTTTAGTATCTATTTCTCCATCATTTTAATGCAAATTTATACATATGTCTGCATGCATGTAGAGAAACTTTTATAAATATATATTTAGATTTTGAATAATCCACCTAGTTTATTTAAAACACATTACAGATATATTTCCAAGTCAATTATTAAACTGTGTCAAAAACAATGCTACGTACTAGCAAGCATTCAGCAAACTATGACTAGTAGGCTAAATCCAGCTCGCCACATGGTAATAAAGTTTTATCAGAACACAGCTATGCCCATTCCTTTACATGTTGTCTGGCCTTTTGTGCTATAACAAGAGAGTGGAGGAGTTGTGACAGGCCCGTAACTCTTGTAAAATCTAAAATATTATTTGGCCATTTACAGAAACAAATATAGACCACCACAATAAACCGTTTCTTTTTAGGGAGACTATATTCCTGCTGCACCCCATGTTTGGGACCATATGACTGAGCCCTGGCCAGTGAGACGTGGGTGGAATTGATATAGCACTTCTGGGTCTTAACATAAAAATGCCTTATATTTTAACCTCTTCTTTATCTGTGGTCATATTCCACTTCTGATTCCTAATGCTATATGTTTGCAACATTTTTCTTTGTCAATCTTACCAGGAGAAAAAAATCAATATTGTTCTATCAATTTAAAAATCATAAATATTAATTTATATCCTTATTTTTCAGTCGATTTTCAGCTTTTGAAGGTTTATTTTTTTATTTTTTTTCCCTAAATTCTTGACTTTTGTTTTTAAATAATAAATATATTACAGCATTGGCCACATCTCATAAGTTTTCATAAATAGCATTCTAATTGCTTCATTATCATTAATTTCTTAATAGCTTATGATTGCAATTTTTATTTCCTCTTTGGCCCACAAGTAATTTAAAAAGTTTCTCACACAGGCGTTCTGTTAATATAAACTTTCATAATTTCTTAATTGTTTTTGTGCATTATTATCTGAATATGTATTGTACAACTTCTATTTTGTACAATTGGTGATTTTTCTTTGGGTAAGAGCCCTAATGTGTGATATATTCTTATAAATGCACCAGTAGCACCAAGAAATGAGAATTTGACATGAACATCCCTCTACATAAATTATACTATTTTTTTGTATTATTCATCTTATCTATATTAGTGGATGCCTTTAAGTTTGTCAGAATTACATTTAGTGCTTTTAAAAAATACAGCTTTCCAGGGGCTACTCATACTGTCCTAACTCAGAGTTGGTTCTAAGAGTATTTATTAAATGCTTGCCTCTAATTCCTATGAAGTAGGTGATGTTTTTATTGTCGTTTTGTTTTGCTTTTTGCTTCTCTTTTGCCTGTACTTATCTTTTCTAGCTGCTGATATAAGAATTTCTCCTCAGGAGAATTTTTGGTGATGCTTTTAAAAGGCGTGTAAGTGCTTGGTTCTCCAGTGGCTGGGCTGTGCATGGGTGAAAGACTAAAATTACGGTAAGTAGGAAGAGTTAAATTGATCTTCAGAAGAAATAATACAAGACTTAAGGGCTGTGAGACTATTAAAAGAAAAGGTTGATCAGATTTAGAGGGACCTCTATGGAGGGGGTAGAGTGAGACGTAATTTTTGAATAGAGAGGTCAGTGGCAGTTTCCAATGAGAAGGTGCCATTTGCACAAGGGTGCTAAAGAGAAGCTAGCTAAGTGGACCTCTGGGAGCGCTTAGCTGTGTGGATCTCAGCTGGAACAGAAAGCATGGAGTGGTCTGCCGGGCAGAAAGAACAGGTATGTCTGGGAAATAGGAAAAAGCCAGGATGATAGAGCAGTATGAATAAAGGCAAATACATCCATGAATGTGAAAGGAAGAGGTAATGGCTGGGTGGATTGACTGTGACTTGAGGTCCCTGTGAAAACTTTGCCTTTTATGCTAAACTAATGCAGAGTTTGAGCAACAAAGTCCCATGCTCTGACTTATTTTTGAGGGATTAGTTAATGCATTGAGAATAAGTCAATGTGGGGTGAGGACAAAGGCAAAGAAACCAATAAGAAAACTCTCACAGAAGTCCAAGAGAGCAATAATATTGGCTCACGTTTGGGTTGCAGCAGAGAACAGGGTGACAAGTTGCCAGATTATGGATTTATTTTCAAAGCATACCCAGTAGAGTTTCTGAATGTTTGATAGCAGAGGCAGAAAGGAGCTGCTGGAATCAGTACAGTTGTTGGTGTCTGGACCTGTCACCTTGACTGCACTCCACCTTTTTGCGACCATTTAACCTACTTTGATTGTGTCAGTGGAAGGTAAGTCCTACCTGGAAATATTAAGAGCCAGTCATGCTGCCCCCTATTGCTTTTTTTTTCTTCTGCTATGACAACTGGGGGTATCCTAGAAAGTGGTTACTTTATCAATCTGGGCACAGAGTGAAATGAAGACAACACTGTGTAGTCTAAGGGGACTTCTGATGGATGTATAGCAAGCACAAGAAATAAGTTTTCTTTTAAGCCAGCAACTGTTTTCAGCACTAACTTGGAAGGTGAATAATGTATCTAATGAGGCTATATTGTAGGATGTGGGAGAGGTGGGAAAAATAGAATGTAGTTGCGTATTTATGTACTATATGGTTATTGTAAAAGTATTAAAAGATGTAGATACACAGAAAAGAAAATCACCTTAAATACCAACAGATAACCTGAGTTAACACTTCAGTACCTATTTCTCCATTATTTTAATGCAAATCTATACATATGTCTGCATGCAGGTAGAGAAACTTTTATAAATATATATTTAGATTTTGAATAATAATCTAGCTAGTTTATTTAAAACACATTACAGATATATTTCCAAATCAATTATTAAACTGTGTCAAAAACAATGCTATGTACTAGCAAGCATTCAGCAAACTATGACTAGTAGGCTGCATTTCACAGTGTACTCCAAAAATAGATGAGCTTAAAAGAAATTTGCTGATTGGCAAGCAGAAATGAAATGGGATAAAGGGAGTGGAAAAATGTTAAGAGTTGTAAGGTTGGAAGAGGTTATTGCTTTTTACCACCTACCAATACAAAATAAACTTGAGAATGCCTGTGAGGAAAGAAAGCCTTCTGGTGAGAAACAAATCAGTGGTATTCTCATTGTTACTACTACCTCTGAATGGGTTATGATATTACCGAGTTAATTTAACAGAAAAAGGCTTAGGAAAAAAAATCTCTGCCATCAATGCTTAATAAGCTCAGGGCACCTGCAATTAAGTCATGTCTAAAAAGAACTATAAGAACCATTGGCATATTCAGCTGACAAATCAGATAAATAAAAAGTTGCCTAAGGTTTTGAGATAGTTGCACTGCTGGAAAGAGCCATTAATCTAACCCAAAAGAGATTGTGGTATTTTTGATACTTAAAATGACTCCAAAAATGAGGAATCACGTTGATGAACCCACTGAGACTTCAAACTATACTACAAGGCTACAGTAACCAAAACAGCACAGTACTGGTACCAAAACAGAGATATAGACCAATGGAACAGAACAGAGCCCTCAGAAATAATACCACACATCTATAACCATCTGATCTTTGACAAACCTGACAAAAACAAGCAATGGGGAAAGGATTCCCTATTTAATAAATGGTGCTGGGAAAACTGGCTAGCCATATGTAGAAAGCTGAAACTGGATCCCTTCCTTACACCTTATACAAAAATTAATTCAAGATGGATTAAAGACTTAAATGTTAGACCTAAAACCATAAAAACTCTAGAAGAAAACCTAGGCAACACCATTCAGGACATAGGCATGGGCAAGGACTTCATGTCTAAAACACCAAAAGCAATGGCAACAAAAGCCAAAATTGACAAATGGGATCTCATTCGACTAAAGAGCTTCTGCACAACAAAAGAAACTACCATCAGAGTGAAAAGGCAACCTACAGAATGAGAGAAAATTTGGCAATCTACTCATCTGACAAAGGGCTAATATCCAGAATCTACAATGAACTCAAATAAATTTACAAGAAAAAACAAACAACCCTATCAAAAAGTAGGCGAAGGAGATGAACAGACACTTCTCAAAAGAAGACATTTATGCAGCCAAAAGACACATGAAAAAATGCTCATCATCACTGGCCATCAGAGAAATGCAAATCAAAACCACAATGAGATACCATCTCACACCAGTTAGAATGGCGATCATTAAAAAGTCAGGAAACAACAGGTGCTGGAGAGGATGTAGAGAAATAGGAACACTTTTACACTGTTGGTGGGACTGTAAACTAGTTCAACCATTGTGGAAGTCAGTGTGGCGATTCCTCAGGGATCTAGAACTAGAAATACCATTTGACCCAGCCATCCCATTACTGGGTATATACCCAAAGGATTATAAATCATGCTGCTATAAAGACACATGCACACGTATGTTTATTGCAGCACTATTCACAATAGCTGACTTGGAACCAAGCCAAATGTCCAACAATGATAGACTGGATTAAGAAAATGTGGCACATATACACCATAGAATAGTATGCAGCCATAAAAAAGGATGAGTTCATGTCCTTTGTAGGGACATGGATGAAGCTGGAAACCATCATTCTCAGCAAACTATCACAAGGACAAAAAACCAAACACCGCATGTTCTCACTCATAGGTGGGAATTGAACAATGAGAACACATGGACACAGGAAGGGGAACATCACACACTGGGGTCTGTCGTGGGGTGGGGAGGCGGGGGGGGGATAGCATTAGGAGATACACCTAATGCTAAATGACGAGTTAATGGATGCAGCACACCAACATGGCACATGTATACATATGTAACAAACCTGCACGTCGTGCACATGTACCCTAAAACTTAAAGTATAATAAAAAAAATAGAAATAGAAAATTATTTCTCACAGTTCTGAAGACTCCCAATTAAGATCAAGGTGCCAGCATCTGGTGAGGGCCTTCTTGCCGAATCTTCACATGTTAGAAAGCCAAAAGGAATGAAGATTGTGACCTCACTGGCCGGAAGAGTGGAAGAGCCAAGCCAACTAACTACTGCATGAAGCTTCTTTTATAAAGACCTTAATCCCACTCACCAGGGAGTAGCACTAATGAGCTTTCACCTCTTAAAGGCCCCACCTTCTAATACTATCATTGGCAACACCTGAATTTTGAAGGCAACACATTCGAACTGTACCATTATCTCTTCTAATAAATGAGATCACTAATGAATGAAGAGAGAAAAGAGAGAACCAAGGACTGAGTCCTAGAGCACTTCAACGTTAAGAAGTAGAAGGAAAAAGAAGAATATAGCAAAGGTAACTGAGAACTGCAACCATATAGGAGGAAAAGTAAGAGTGGTGTCCTGGTAGCCAAGTGAAGAAATGGACCAAGAATAAGTGAGTGCTAAATTATGTCAAACATTTCTATGAAATCAAGTAGATTGAGGATTGATAATTGACTATTAGATTTAGAACCTTGGGAAGGGTCATTGTGGGACTTAGTAGGAACAGTCTCCATGGAGGACAGGTGCGAAATCCTGATGAGCTGGGTTGCAGTAAGCATGGGAGGAGGGGAGTTAGAGTCAGCAAGAAGAAAGAGTTTGGAAAGACTGTTCCAAAGAGTCTTTTTACAAAGGGGAACAGAGAAATGAGAGATGATGGAGACAATAGGGTCAAGGGGAGTAATTTCTGTTCCAAGATGGAGAAATAATAACAAATTTGTATTATCAAATGGAGAGTGAAACAATAATAAGGTAGAAAAGAGAGAAAAGAACGGATGGAGTCAAGAAAGTGATCTAGCACCTAGTGGAGAGATCCGTTTTAGAAAAATGCATGGAGCCTTCCCCTGAAGTGAAAGCCAAAATGCAGCACCCGTGGGTGCAGGTACTGGTAGGTAGGTTCACAGCATGACAGGAAATTGTGGGGTTCCTTCCTGATTGTTTCAGTTTTCCCAAGGAAGTAGAAATCCAGCTTTTTAGTTGAGAGTGAGGCTAGAGAAAGATGTGTTTCAAGTTTGGAAATAGACAATGAAATGCAATAGATAGGGGAAGAGTGAATGAAATAAGAATATATAACATGATTACCAGGAACTGTTAAAGGCCGTTTGAGATCTATAGTCATAAATTTAGAGTAAGATTGGTCAGTGTCAATGTCTATTTTTCTCCAGCTGCATTTAATCGCATTGGTGTAGACACAAATTAGGCACAGGTGAGTCCAGCTAGGGCCGTGGTCTCTTCAAGTGAGAAAAGGAAATGAGAGGTGAGCCGCAGGTGTAAGTTCCTAAGGAGTGATGATGTTGGATGACTATGAAAGTTAAGCTGGTTGAGAAGGAAAAAAACAAAAAGGGACAAACCAGGGGAAAAGTGATAGACATGCAATTGACATGATTTGATTTTCTGCAGCATCAAATCTGCAGTTGCAAGCCTCTGAGATGTCTTATAACTTTGCATTTTTAGTTTTAATTTCTCATTTTTAGTTTTCATTAATCTTTCGTTCTCCGTTACTTTTCTTTTTATTTCATCCTGTTACATTTTTATGTAAGCTGGTCCACTACTTAACAGCTTTCTGTTTCTATTTCAAAGGGGTTCTGTCTTCTAAAATATTCCCGTGTGCCACTTTTGGACATCTCTCTTCACAGATAATGTTAACAAATATAATATAGCTTTCAGTTCCATAGGTGACACCACATACACTTTCCTAATTTCTTCAGTGGTTTTAGTGCTTAAAATTACATTTGCTGTTTCAGGACTGATTATAAGAGTACCATGAGCTCAGAGTAGAGAATGTGGAAAATATAGAAAGAAAAGAAACTTATAAAATGTACAATATCAGCACTCACAAATAGCTACTATCAATATATCTGTATGTGTTTTTTCAAATTTTTAAACACAATGTATTTTTTATAATTGAGACCATAGTATATGCATCTTACCTTTTTCACTCCACATTATATTTTGAACACTTCCTCATGTAATTCTTTATGATTTGAAAATGAAACTTCAATGAGTACACAATATTACGGCATACCTGTTCTTTGTATATCTATAACCTTCTTTACTTTTTCTTATAAAACATTTTAAATTTATTCACAAGTAGTAAAAAAATAGTATCCAATGAACTCTCACTTATCCATTACTTCGGTCCAGTGTTCCTCTTTATGCTGTGTTCTCTTTGTTCTCATTCTTCCCATGTTGCCAAAAAATCTTTCTTAGTAGTATGCAGTTTAACCATAGGATGTCCCTGGTTCATCCATGACCTACGTTTAATTAATGGAGTCTGACACTAGCATGAGAAAGACAATAAATCAATGAATCAGCAACACTCTCCAGGAAAAAATAACCTAAATGGGTTACTATATAATCAAAGTGGCATTTCAAATATCAGGGAAAAAATAAACTATTTGATACACTGTGTTAAAACAATAAAGAAAAACTACAGATTAAACTACATAAAAATTGAGAACTTCTGTATGCCAAAATATATTTAAAGCAAATGAAATACTTGCCAATCTTGGGATAATTTGGTGACATATGTGACAAAGCTTTTACTGCACTTACTATATAAAGAGCTATTACAATTCAATAAGAAAGTGAGTTCCAACAGTAAAACTATAAATTTTCATTGATCCTGTAAAATAAACATCATTTCTGATAAAATATTTTCACCTTTTCAATAAGAAAATATTTTTACAATTAATGTCCGTTAGCAGCAAAATCTGGAGAAAGAAGAGGTTAACTTAACTACCATTTATGGTTAAAGTAGAAATTAGTATAATATTTCTGAAGTAAAATTGGTATACACTGGAATTTTAAATGAGCTACCAATTTATTTAATAATCTTACTTATAGAAGGCTGGGTGCGGTGGCTCACGCCTGTAATCCCAGCACTTTGGGAGGCCAAGGTGGGAGGATCATGAGGTCAGGAGATCGAGACCATCCTGGCTAACACAGTGAAACCCCATCTCTACTAAAAAT
The DNA here is from genome assembly GCF_000001405.40 of Homo sapiens. Lineage (NCBI taxonomy): Eukaryota > Metazoa > Chordata > Mammalia > Primates > Hominidae > Homo > Homo sapiens. The sequence continues at coordinate 9,592,921 of NC_000006.12, forward strand.
ACAAAAAATTAGCCGGGCGTGGTGGCGGGCGCCTGTAGTCCCAGCTTCTCTGGAGGCTGAGGCAGGAGAATGGTGTGAACTGGAGAGGCGGAGCTTGCAGTGAGCCGAGATTGTGCCACTGCACTCCAGCATAGGCATCACAGTGAGACTCCATCTCAATCATCATCATCATCTTACTTATAGAAATATATTATTTCTTTCCTTTCAGTTTTTTCTTTCTTTCCATCCTTCCATCATTTTTTCTTCCCTACTACTGTCTTCCTTTTTATACTTTACTTATTTTTTCTTTTTCTTAAGCTCAGTAATTTGCCTAGCTAATCACAGTAGCTAACAAATTTCTTTCATCCTTCATGGTATTCCTCACAACCACCCCGTGAAATGGACACTGGTAAAACCCCACCAGAGTGATTGGGTGCAACTACTTCAGATGCTTTCATGGAGACGATTGAGAAAATGATGCTACCTTCTCACATTGAGTATAGAATTAGTGGAACAACAGAATCAGGGCAACAAAATCCATTAAGAGAAAGACTGAACTGAAAGTATCAAGTCAGCTTCAAAGAGAAAGAACACTTGGTGCATGCACTCATAATGATCTGTGAACCCTGGAGCAGAGTTTTTAAGACCCCTTTAAATCCCCTTCCTGGCTGTGGAGCTCTCACATTCCGTGTGGTCAACATGGGACCAGGTGAACTCTAGTGTCAGATAGTCTTTCTCCTGGGGTGGGGTGGACAGAGTACATCAGCTCTTCAGACATACTCTCCAATTGTGCACTCTTGAACCAGGTATACATGCCTAATTACATCACTGGATTAGCAAATACCACTTGAGGTCTTTCAGTAAGGTTGAGTAATTTGTACGAGTCACATAATTACTAAGCTATAGGGCAGGATTTCATCCTAGATCTAGCTCCGGAGCCCCAGATCTTAACCACTGTGCTGTACTATCTTATTCATTTCTTTATTCATTTATTCACCTATTTATCATACAATTACTGAGCTCCTAGCTTGACCCAGACATGGGGGTCATTATCCTTGAGGAATTTATACCATTTTAGGAGAGAATTTCTGCTCCTTCCAAGGTCTCAATAAATTAAGGAATCAATAAGAGAACAGCCTTTCCATTCTAATCTATCAAATGTCCAAGATCAAGCAAATTCTCCATTCAGCAGATCCCTGTGTTCATGCCACAGACCAGTGTATCAGTGCATATTATATATATCTGGTCGTATTTAAAGCATTTCAGGCACTGGTAGAGTATGTAAGAAAACAATACTTTTTTTTGTGAAGTAATGGAACTTTTTCTGGATCCCTGGAGGCAGAACCTAGCATCACCTGCTTCATCCCTCAGTATATCTGTTCTCCCCATCCCCTAACTCCTCACCAGTGACAAAAGAGAAAATCTATATAAAATGCACTGTATGCAAAAGAAAAAAAAATGTGTTTTTAAAAAAGATTAGGTTTACCTTATTTCACTCAATCACTAGCTATTTAGGACTTATCATTTGCCAGGCTCTTCACTGTTATACTAAGCAAGTTCTTAGGAGAATCTCCAAATTGGTAGTAGGTATTTTCAAATTATTGGAAGAATTCCCCAGTTGTAAGAGTTCTCATTTGAAAGGACAATTTTTCCCATCTCTAGAGGTGTTTAAGATTGAGCTAGGTGGCCAACTAGAAGTGATGGAGTAAAAGAGATTTGTGCTTCACATAGATGGCTGGCTGGACCCAAAGAACTTGTGTGTATGTACATGCTTATATATGTGCGTGCATGTGTGTGTGTGTGTGTGTACATAGTTTGTATATATATGTGTATATGTATATGTAAACATATGTGTATATGTATATAGAGTGCGTGCGTGTGTGTGTTTGCATTGTTAGTGACTAAAATATATAGGAAAGACCATTTTGGAGAATCTTGAATAAGAACTTATAAAACAGAAATGCCACAGTGCCATAAAAGCTTTTCCTTCTGCTTATCCAAGCATTATCAGTTGATTTATTTAATAAAACTGAGGATGCAGACAGACTGGAAATACAGCTTCCAATAGAATGTTCTCATGTTGTGATTATGGAAGTGATAAGTAATTTGCTTTTAATGCTAGCAACATACCACTTAGCACCATACTTAACTGAAGGATGAAAATTACTCATTTTTCATCCACTTGCTTAACTGACACTTAATATAATCTATCTGTTGTCACTGAACTTAATACAAGAAATATTTACTAGATCTCACTTTTGAATTTATAGCAGGCATTTAAAATTTTAATTTCTTCTTATTTATATTTTTATCCTTAATAGAATTGCATTCCAAATGAATAATTTATTTAGACAATAAGAGCACAGTAGGTACTAGCAAAAATAATCTATTAAAAGGTTTTTCTATTTACAGTTTTCAATTACAATCATATTTTCTACTGTATATTACTCTGTAGGAAGAACAATGTCAGTGTGAATGACACAAGTCAATTAGCAACCAACTATAATACTAGAGATGAAGTTACCAATGAAATCACTGAGAATATACACATAAGTTTTTTGGTATTGTTTTACTAATAGAGGCCTTAAAAATAATTATTAGTATTATAAATTATCCTCACTAGACTGAAAAAGACTGGTGACTAAATTCACAGATATGTAGTCCCTCAGAAACCTGTTCTGAATTTTGAAATAATACTTTGCACTGTGCGTAAACACATGTACTCTCCTAAGGGGACACTGTAGCGATGCCTCTTACATTAGAACTCAGTTCTTACAGAGAATCTGTTTACAAAGACTATACCCATCTCTCCCTATCCATGGAATTATTACTTGCGGTCCATAAAGAGTCACAGAAAATGAGAGAAATTGATTATAAGAATCAAGTTTCTTTTATCTGTCTCTATTTTTCTTAAGAAACTAAGCATACATGTACATCAAAAAAAGTCTAAATTAAATAGATTCTTTCAATGCCAGTACACAGTGTTTACTTCAGGTGTAGATTGTGTCAAATCTTATCTCAACACTGAAATGGGTGATAATACTGAGCCCTGAACCTCGGAATGGTACTTTTTAACAAAAAGAGAGAAATCATGAAAACACAGGTCAGTAAATTTCTACACACCAAACACCTATGTGTACATATATTGTTATAAAAGATTAAGACAAACTCAAGTGTTGAACCTGTTACTTAGTACATAGTGCCCAGTAAGAGAAGTTCAATGGCAGGGAAAACAAATATAGAAAATCAATAACAGTAACAAAATAAACTCTGCAGACTTCTATTTTAGAATATTGAACTCATGCTTCGCAATAATGTAGTAGAAGATGCCTCGGATTAGAAAATATACTGTGGCCATGGGCATTCTTCAGGTGCAGAAAATATTGCTTTTCTTTACTCATCCTTCCACTGGGGCCACCAATTTCCTAAAGGAAACCCGCAAAAGGAAAAGTTATCAATGGACTGATTGCTGATTTCTGCGTTGCTCATTCAATTCATTCATTTAGCACATTACACATAAATGTAAGTGAAATGTGACATATCAGTTTATTCTTTCATTCAACAAAAATATGCTGAGCACTTATTAATTCAGTACAGTATTAGGAAGTGGGGAGGTAACATTAAATAAAGTAGACAATGATCCCTGCCTTCATAGGCCTTAAATTTTAGTGAGGAAATTATAAATAGAAATGACAGACCTGCAAAATTGGCAGATATTTACTTTAATTCAGTTAAGCAAACGGCAGCTAAAAATTTACTATAGGACTTTGGATTTATTGACTTGATTTAATAATTTAGTGAAACACAGCGTAAGATGCAGAAAATCTACTTCTCTATATATATATTTGTTCCTTCCCAGGGTATTTTGTGCTGATATAGGTCTATCAGAGAATTTGTTTTAATATATCTAGCCCCATTTTTTTCTTTGTTTCTTTGTGTGGACTTATTTCTACTGTAAATAAGAGCAGAATAAAGAACCGGCCCTAATGCTATTGTTATGCCTCCTTCATGCCATCTTTCCGACATCAAATGTTTACCAAGCTCCCCCATAGTACCAAGCACTATTCCAAGTTCTGTTAATGGAAGATACATTTTAAAAGTTCTCTGTTAACAGGTAACTCACGCTGTAATGGGAAACAAAAGTGTGTAATTACTTTTACTTAATAAATCTGTTAAGTAAAAGTGGAGGTAAATATATAGTGAGCACAGATATAAGTATTAATATTTTCAAGAGTGGAGGGGAGGAAGGAAGGAAGTCAGTGATAGTGACTTTTAAGTATCTGAAGGAAGATTCTAGTTGTCTGAGGTGAGCAGGTGTGATAAATTAAACTTTTTTTTTTTTGAGACGGAGTCTCGCCCAGGCTGGTGTGATCTCGGCCCACTGCAACCTCTGCCTCCCAAGTTCAAGCGATTCTCTTGCCTCAGCCTCCCGAGTTGCTGGGACTACAGGCGCCTGCCACCACGCTGGGCCAATTTGTTGTATTTTTAGTAGAAACGGGGTTTCACCATGTTAGTCTCAGGATGGTCTTGATCTCCTGACCTCATGATCCGCCCGCCTTGGCCTCCCAAAGTGCTGGGATTACAGGTGTGAGCCACCACGTCCGGCCAATAATTTAAACTATTATAACATGTTTGGAATATTTATTAGTTTCTGTAAAGTTAAAATCTGTTGACAGAGACACTAATGTATGTTGATTGCTCTTCAATAATAGCCACAGAGGATAAAACGTGTTGATAGTATATATGTTTGATAATTTCTGCCAACAGAGGAAACACATTGTGTAACCTTTCATGCAAACTTCTTATATTACACTGACAATATCATAGTAGTTAGACAATGACTAAAGCTGGGAATTGAAAAATCACTAGGATTAGATGCGTTCACATGTTCTTTAATTATTGGTATCTATTTTGACCCTTCTAATAAGCACTGCCTTCTGTTTGAGAGATACGGCTAAAAAAACACTTCTCATCCTTCCTTAAATGTGCAGAGGAAGGTCAGGGAGCTGAGATGTCCCCTATACAGTGGACAAAAGATTCTTAATGATGCTGGACTTTTTATGACCATTCAACCCTCTTATCACTTTGTGATTATACATATGATACCTAATCTTCAGTTGAACGAGAGGAAAGCAAGTGAGTAAAGGGGAAATGAAAGAGATTATATGAGGACCGGAAAGGGGGCTGTGCTACTTTGAACCCTTTAAAAAGAATTGTGATTGGAGCAGCCCAAATCTGAGCCAGCCAGTTTGGGCTTGGTGGTTGTTACCTTAGAATACAAAAGTTATACTACACAAATGAGCTCATTTACGTAACCTGATTTTTTGTCATGGTTATTTAATTCTTCCATTTTTCTTTAAGTTCCTTCTAGAAAAAAAAAGTGAAATTTTTCAGCTAAATGAAGAGGAGGGGGAATTTATTTAGACTTGACCTTACCATTTTTTAGCCATTCCTCTATTTTCCTCTTCATGAAAGAATACCACTGTCAAACAATGTTAAAAATGGCGTCCTGTCCCTCTTCAACTTCCAGAGTAGCCAAATAGTACTCTCTAAGCTAGCAAAGATTAAGCTGGTTTCTCCTCTCTCTGAAAACATATTTGCAATGACCTTGACTTCTAGGTGTTCTTTCCAATACCCATTATTGACTTTAAGTCAACTACATATTACAAGGCAGTAGGGTTGAAAAGGAAGTTGAACTTAGTCTTCTCACCATGACTTGTGCAACATGGAGCATTAGAAAAACAAGAAGAAAGAGGTAGTACTTGGTGGCTCCTTCCTAGTTGATGCATTCATTTATAGTAATGAGTCAAATATTTAATCAGCAAATAAATACCTTTTTATTTTAACGGGTTCTTTTCATGTCTCTCAATTAAATGTCAAACGAGCCTCCCAGGATGCTGTCCGTTTTGCTTATATGCTCCTGAATAGCTGTGATCACTTCACTGTGGACAAGCTTTAAGCCACTGATATCACCAAACACCTGAAAAGTGGTGACAAATGGCCATATATTTATTAACCATGTTTCAAATAAATATTTAGGTGGAATAAACCACAATTGTAAATTCTTTCCTATTTTTCTATTGGAATTGTAGCTTGGAAGTCCCCTGAAGTGCCTCATGATTATTCTAATTCCACAGTATAACAGAAGCTTATCATTTAGATTTTATGGTTGAGTTTCATTTCTGACATTTACAATAATGTTACAGCAGCTCTATCCAATATCGTAATATTTGTATAAATATATTTAGTAGTATAGAAAATAGGATTATAATGAATAGTTCAACTATGTTTGAAAAGTTATTTTTTTTCTAATTCTACTGAAATCTAAAATCAAAAACAAGACTGGAATTTTCTTTTATGCCTTGAATAACTATTGTTTGATTAAATGCATAGAAATAAAAAACTGTCTGGGGAAAATACATTCCTTTTAGTAGGAACTCATTGTCCCTAAGGAAGCTCTCTGTATATACAAGACTAATTATACTCAAGCACAACTAACAGCCATGCCAACATCCTGCTTCCCTTGTCACACAGTTTGGGTTTATTCCTGGACTGTTTAGAATAATCACCAATTTCACTGACTTCATACGCCTCTCCTACATCTTGAAGGTATCTAACATTTCCAAGCATTCTGCTGAAGGATTGTTTTCCACCAGAATTTATGACCTCTTGCACCAAAGGCCATTCAGATGAGAAAGGCGGGAGCCACATCTACGTGCACATTGGCAAACTGAATGTATTTCTCTGGATAGCAAAGGGCGCATGTGCTTACCTGACAAGCCTTTTTTTCTTTTTTGGGGGTTGCAGAAGCCATTTTTTCTCTCTTTTCTTTTTTTAATTATACTTTAAGTTCTGGGGTACATGTGCAGAACTAGAGCTGCTCTTCCATCTCCTGATGAGACTATAAATCTTCAAGCCCAGCCAATCATAAAGCGTCTCTCCAGGGTGAGCAAACAGAGAAACAGGGTACTGATGGAAATACCAGGAAAAGAAAATCTTCCAGGATAGCGAGTAGGAGGAATCATAAAAGCCTGGATCTATGTCATTTTATGAAGAAAACATTCTCAAGAATGAGCCAATGTAGATGAAAAAAAGAGAGAAGAGATTTGATAATTTTTTTTAACTCGAGTCAAAATCCCATCAGAATAGCTATGGTACTTCCCATTTATATGAGTTAATAAATATCCTTTGTGATTATGCAGAGATACATTAGGTGTTTGAGATATACAACTAAATAATGTTGAGGAAAATTTATGTATCCTTGGACAAGGATCGATAGTACATTATGGTACTTGAAATTGTGAAGTCCTTTTCCATTACTGGCTGCCCTGTCATTCTTTTTTTTTTTTTTTTAATTTGAGACAGGGTCTGGCTCTGTCACCCAGGCTGGAGTGCAGTGGCACGATATCCATTCATTGCCACTTCTGCCTCCTGGGCTTAAACAATCCTCCCATCTCAGCCTCCACAATAGCTGGGACTATAGGCAGGTGCCACCATGCCTGACTAATTTTTTGTATATTTTGTAGAGATGGGGTCTTGCTATGTTGCCCAGGCTGGTCTCAAACTCCTAGGCTCAAGTGATCTGCCCACCTCAGCCTCCTGAAGTGCTGGAATTCCAGGCATAACTGTCATTCTTATTAACTATCTTTTGCTTTTATTCTTTATTATGCACTTCTCTATATCTTGGTATGTAATCTTTTAAAACTTAAGTTTGTTGGGAAACATTCTGTGCACCATGGCATTTATTTAGATGCCTTCTCTTCTTTCTTATCAAGGCTATCTAATAATGCAAGCCAGAGTTACAATTCTAGAGCATTTTCCAAGGCTCTTGAAATGCCTTCCCTTTCAGATCCATCATGCCAGTTCCCTGAACCTCTGAAATGCCCTTGCGAGTATTAAATTAAATGGTGCTCAGCCTTCATCAGGAGTTCCACAATGAGAAGGTCACTTTCTCCTCAGTTTTTTGTTATTTACAATCTTTCTTTGTTGTTGAGAATTAGATTCAGAGTAACAACCTTCATCATCACTTTATTGCCTAGAAAACAAACTGTTGGGATGTCTCCTTACTCCGTAGTACCTCTTTATTAGTATGAATTCTTTAAAGAGTCTTAAATGCTAACAGAAGCTTACCCAAGCTACAGTGCTTGGGTAAGAAGGAAGCGGGAGCAAGAGTGGTTTTGTTTGCTGGAGATTTCAGAAACTTTCCAGTTCTCATCTGGATGAATTAACTGGAATCATTTTTCTGCCTGGTTATACATCAGCAGGGACATGGACCAGAAGCACACAGCCTTCCAGGTTACTCTGATTTTTCTAATTTGTTCCCACACCTATAACTATTCCCCTTGTCCTCATCACAGCTGCCACCATACTGTATCAAAAATGTACTTGTAAAAAATGATTTATATGTATACGTGACATACATCAAATTAGCAAATTTGGCCTGATAGGTTTGGGGAAGACAAAATAAACACATAACTACCCTCAACTGCAATTCCTGAAGAAATTTATTAATTGTCATTTCTTTTTTAAAATTTTGAAATAGGGTCTTGCTCTGTCACCGGGGCTGGAGTGCAGCACAATCACAGCTCACTGCAGCCTCGACCTCCCCAGGCTCAGGTGATCCTCCCACCTCAGCCTCCCAAGTAGCTGGACTACAGGCATGCACCAACACGCCTAGCTAATATTTTTATTTATTGTAGAGGTGGGATGTTGCCCGGGTTGGTCTTGAACTCCCAGGCTTGAGCAATCCACCCTCCTCAGTCTCCCAAAGTGCTAGGGTTGCAGGCCTGAGCCACTACACCCAGGAGATTGTCATTTCTAAGTTAACTCTGTGTGAAAAAGTTCATTTTCTAATCACTACAATGTGATTATAAATAAATCTTAGAACATTTTAAATTTGTAGTAATTTGTGTAGTCATTTAAGTGATGTGTGCTAAAAATACACAAACAACATTGTAGTCATACTTATTTTGTTTTGTGGATATTATTGATTAATGGGAAGAAATGTGGCTAGAAAATGAATATTACTAATGACTGAAATCTTATGAGAAACTTGTATTTAAATGGGTCATGCTTACAAAATAAACAAAAAACAAACCTAGTCATGTAGCCTCTTTCAAAGGTAGAAAAGGACAGTGAATGATGATATCCAGCGGTTTCATATTTTAAATATAGCATTATCCCATTAAGTCATAGAAGTATAGTTTGGTTTGTGTGACTACAGCCAAAAAGACTATCAAATTATTGGGTAAGCTTTCCATTCACTGTAGTTTTGGTTATACCTTTGTTCATATTTCAGGAGGGCAATTCAGATACATACAGACACAAACAGATGTAGCAGATATTACATACACACACATATAAACATCCTTTTAAATTCTCATATTCTTTTAGCTAGTAATTTCACTGTCAGAATCTACCTCTGAGAAGTAATATAGGGTTTTAATGAAAATTGCAGAGGAAAGAACTCCAAATTCTATCCCTCCATAACAGCAACAACAACAACAAAAACGGACAAAAACTCAGAATCAACTTTTTTGGAGGAAAATTAGATCTGGCACTCTCTGTGGCTGAGGCTGAAGCCACTGAGGTCTTGATTAGCCACTCAGGTCCTCACCACAATGGTGTTAGGGACTTATGATTGTGAACTAATAGACTACAAGCTTGAAACACCACTGTGTCACTGCCAGACAGTGTGATTGGAAAATAATCTCAGCAGAGACAAACAAGTATCTCTCAGCCTGTGCCAAGGCCGTGCTCAATGGTGACACCCATAGCAGTGGAGGCAATAACTCACATAAACTCTTGTCTTGTGTTTGAAGCAGGACTGGTCCTCTTCGATGTAAAGAAGCATCTGGATTTCTTAAGAAATTTTCTAGCTAAAACAGGCCTTAAGAAAGAGATAGTTAATTGGTTGCTAATAAGGGTAGGTATCTCCTCAAGTGTCAGATTGGAAAAATGAAATATATTTATCATTGAGCTGGTGGGATGGGTCAAATCTAGCTGCCGAAAATATACAATATTCATAAAGTTTCAGTGAGAGGCCTTTATAAATATGGTTAGGGAGATAAGGAGAAAAAATAAAATAGAAACAGAATTCTGGTAGTAAATTTTGATGTCATTTGCCCACTGAACACTAAGAGGTATGTATTCATAGCACTAATTCACTGACTGCAGCAAGACATCAACATTTGGAGTCCTGATGCAACTCATGATGATTCGGAAATGAAGTGGAAGAGTCCCTCAATGAAATTCAGATTGCTACCTGATTAAAACTATAGAATTCAAAAATAGCACTAGAAATAATATGACACTGTATAAGTCATAGGTTGAATCATCATCATTTTAGAGAAAGGATGTTTTCAATTTGAAAAAGTAAAGCACACAGGTTAATTTCCTTGAGGGGTTCATTGAACTCAGGGCTGACATTGGGATTTATTCCCTGGAATATAGGGATCCTGGGTGTTGGTGGTGGTGGCTCTGTTGATCATCACGGCTGTGAAAATTATAAGCCACAGCACATAGTCCTTCCATTTTTGCAAAAGTATACTTTACTTGGTTGTAAACTATTCAACGTTCTTAAGATTAAATATCTGAATATTGCTTCTGAAAGAACAGCTGTCAGCTCAAATCTAAAGTCTAGTTTGTTTACTGGCTGTATTTTATATCCTTTAGAAAATGACACAAAATGGCAATAAAATCATTGTAAGTATTCTACAGGGGAATATAAATGCCCTTTGGTTACAGTGTACATATCTTTATACGTAATTCTAGTTTATTTTCCCTAGAATTATGTTAAATATGTAAAAAGCCTTTTCTCATAAAGGTAAAAATGCTAGATGTTTTCAAGTTGTAATTTAGCATTAGTGTCAAGATTGCTTCAGAAAATAAGCTACTGTTACTGTTTCATTCCTTTTAAGTGTCACTCAGCATACTATATGCAATTTTGCACATAAAATAAACTTTATGATTTTATGTTTGGGTTTCAGAAAATGTAAGTGGGATTAAAAATAATTTATAGGAAACAAATATTTTTAAATAACTGATGCTAAGCACCTGGATTTTTTACATTGTTTTATAATATTATTTTAAAATAATTGTTTCAAGTAATTATGGAAGAATTTCTTCCATAGACTATAATGGAGAAACTAATATTATCTATGAATTTAAAAGAGAACAATCAATATATTAGTAGATAGATAGTTCTTAGATTAATATTAACATAATTCCAAAATGCACCAAAATATTTTAATATTTCCATTTTATGATACTTTATCATAACCCTAAATATAATCGTATCTTTTTATATCTACATATGTGTAGATATATATACACACATATATATAATATTGCTTTTCATTTTGCTTTTTTTGATGAGCGAATTATTTTCTACCTTATTAGACGTCAGTATTAGGCAGTCATCAAATGGAGTCAAGATAAAAATCACATATTCTGAAAATGCTCATCTCAAGTATTGCCTTTTGGATGCATGGATTTAAAATATATTCATAATGTAAATACTCAAAACATTTCCAAATATTAAGATAAACAAATTTAAAAAGCATGAAAATTTTTCACATTTAGAAGGTCACCTGTCAAGATGTCTTTTCTGAGATCCAATTCAATAACAGAAAAATATACAGAATTAAAAGCGAACATACCTTTATTCAAGTAAAAACATTCAATCTTTATCATTATACAATAAAGGTTCCATTCTTCATTTCTACAATGTTTACGTTAGACATTTAACCATATATTATAATTAATATGTTAAATTTTGACTGCTTCTTTGCATTTATAACTTTTAAAACGTTTCTTATGACTTAGAATCCAAGAAAAGTTTTCTTACTCAATATATGATACATATATTATTTCTAATGGACATATGAATACAATAATAGAACAATTCTTTTCTACGCTTTCAGAAGTCCTAATTATTCAGGGATTTAAAGGAAATCTAAAATGCCAAAAATTGTTTTATATGTAAAAATATTTTAAAAAATGTGTATCTTATTATTTTTTCATAAATGTATAAATTAAAAATATGAGACCCATACAAAGCAAGAATTATTAATGATTGATTACCTCAAAAGATAATATAAATGAAGTATAGAGAAATTTAATATTTTGTAAGATTGAACCGTAGTGCTTCTTATAGTAAAGGCCTATAGAATCTCTAAAATATTTCTGACAATTACATCTTAAATTACAGTAAATGGAATAAAAAAAGACGTCATGATTTTCTAAGGAAACCAAACATCGCTATAGAAAATTCATGTAGTCACTAAAAGTTAATATTTTTGACCTTATTATTAAAATAACTTTTAAAAGCAAATAGTTGCATTTACAAAAAAATGTGTCTGAAATCTAATGTAGTCATTTAAAATTTACAGTGTGTTAGGTTTTGAAACAAACAAAACTGTGATTTTTCCTTTTCAGGTTACCAATAATACAAATAAAACGATAAATGAAGCCTGAAGTGAGAGTCTTCTTGCTTCGTTTTTGTGAAAAACTAACCATTTCACAGCGAGTTGCACTGACCCAGTTATAATGGAC